>NC_000015.10:20375254-20532279 GCF_000001405.40 Homo sapiens | reverse complement strand
GGGATTACAAGTATGAGCCACTGCATCTGGCCCATCTGTCTTTTAAAACATGTTTTTAATTGGAGGTATAATTTCTATTAGTGAAATGCACAGGTCTGGTTTACATTTTGATGAGTTTTAACTCATTTAACATTACTATGGAACCCACCTCCTTTGAAGATACAGAGTATTTCTATCATCCAGAAAGTTCTCCTGTGCTTTCATGCTGTCCCGCACTCCCCCAGCAGCTGATGAACATGCTGAGGACATTGGTACTGGATTCTGGCCGCCCCAAAAGAGCCGCTTTGACCAGGCTTACCCAGCACTAAATCCCTGCCTGCTCTCTCAAAATTTCCATCTTTAAACTGGTTGTACCTATAACCCTCCCTCATCAAGTCAATAGATAAACAAACCCTGAAAAATAAACAACTCTTCCTGGCCCAGCAGCCCACAGCCTAATATTTACTGTATTCCCAGGCTTTCAGAAATGTAACTCGCCTGCCGGTTCACCCTCACTAGGGCGGCAGCTGCACGGGAGCAGCTGGGCTCACCCATTAAGCAAGAAGCCAATAGCTGGACAGTGACACTCAGACCCCAGCCTGGGCGAGCCTGGCTGAAAGCCCCCTTCTTTCCATCCGACTGCGGAGAAAGGGGGCGGAGCACACACAACTCTACTGCCCTCCACATCCTTCACCTGTGCTTCCTCCTGGGAGAGGGAGCCGCTCATTAATTTGGCCAAAGCCTTCTTGAGGGCTGTAGGTTTCACAGGCTGGGTGTGTGGGGGCCACCGTGCTAGAGACAGAGGCTGGTGTGTCAGAAGGCAGCCACCTGGCCAGAGGGGGGTCAACCCCCTTGGTGACCTCCTTCCCCCGGCTGGACACAGTGCCCTGCACTCTCTACATGTGACTGTTCCCCTCAGAGCTGCTTCCAGGGGAGGGGTTCTAATCCTGTGGGTGGGGACATTGTGTTACTTTACAGTGGGCCATGGCTCCCTCTGACATCTCCAACTCAGAGGCAGTAGAGAGAAGATGAGAAATTCCCTGCCCCTCCTCCCTCAGCACCCCCACCTCTGCACACGTCCACATGTGGAGACCCTGACAATGGGCCCTGGGAGTGCTGCCATCTGTGCCTGCTTTCCATGCCTGCAGCAGCCATGCCCACTCTCCAGACCCTCACCCGCCTGGGTCAGTAGACGCTTCACTGCCTGTGGTCCTGCGCCTACACCTGGGCCTCTGTACCCGTCAGTTCCCCCAGTCTGGTTCTTATTCCCTGCAAAGAGTAGGGAGCCTATAAGGTCACCTGTTGAGCAAGCTGGGGGAGAGAGTAGGGTGGGGCTGGGAGGATGAGGAGGAGAAGCTCATGGTCGTGCTGGAGACTCAGCTGAGCAGAGTCTCTGCAGGCCCATTGGCTGCCTAGCCAGTGGTGATCTCGCTCCCACCCTCATTTCTTCTTTGTTAACAAAACCATGACCTCATTAAATACTGGACACCTATAAACCTCATGGACCCTCCTCCAGCCTCCCCACCGTGTACTGGTGAGTCTAAGTCAACTCTAGTCATTTCATTCCTCTGGACATTGACTGCTTAGGGCTTGGGCATGAGCTGCCTCTTCACCTGAGCCTGAGCCACAGGTACCCTCTGCACCTACCACGCTGATGCACTGGGCCAGGGAGAGCGCCGTCTGGATGGAGATGAGCTGTGAGGAGCTGGTGGCTGGGCGGATCAGGTTGTTGTAACAGGTTTTGTTCAGAAGGTCGTCCATCAGTTTCTGCTCGGCATGGGCCATGCGGCAGTCCCCTGGGTAAACACACAGACATGCTGGGCCCTTGTGCAGCTGTCTCCCACTGCAGCTGACAGCTATGAAGCAGGAGCTGAGAGGGCCAGGGAGCACAGACACCCTGAGAGCTGGCTGAAGCAGTGAAGGTGCTGGCCGGCCTGGCTTTCCCTGGGGACTTCAAATGACATTCACGACAGAGCTCAGCTACCTCCTCCCCATGCCATACCTCTTCCTCCTCCTCCTCCCTCCGTCAATGAACAGCATCCCACGCTCTACACATCTGATACAAAACTGGGTGTCTCTTCCTGACTCCTCCCTTGGTTCACCCAAGTGGCCACCAAGTCCTGTCTGTCCTCCCATCTCCACGGCTACAGCCATGTCCCTGCCTCCCCCGCCCTGCCCACCTTCTGTTCTCTCCACCTGCACTCTGCCCCTGCCATCCATGTGCCATACAGTGGCAGACTGATCTTTCTACAGCAAACTGGACGAGGGCCCTTCCCTACCCACAGCTCTCAGAGCTGGAGGTGGAGTTGAAGCTCATGTTTTGGCTTGGCATTCAGAGCTCTTTCCCCCTCAGCACTGGCTTATCCAGAGTGCTCACAGTGCAGGGCAGGAGCCTCGTGACTCAAATGTGGGTTTGGTGCAGAACTGGGTCTGAGGTGGTGCTTTCCCTATGAAGAGACAGGGCCGACATGGGGGAATTTTCTGGGTTCAAAGTTAGACCTAGAGAGTGCAAAGTTTCTCTGAGGCACCAAATGGAGGGGTCCAGCTAGCAGCTGGCCCCTGGTCTGGAGCTTCAAGGAGAGATCTCAGCTCAGAGCCACATTCAATAGCCAGCTTACATGTGGCCTCCTGCAGGGAGCCCCTGGAGCTTCCACAGCCTCCGTTCTGCCCCTCTGCATACCCCAGATCTCCTGCTAAGTGGCGTTTGGGTCTTCATGTCATCTCCCTCCCATGTCTGGGAGTAAAGGTGAGGTGCAGAGACTTGCACTTGTGTACTCTGGTGTCTTAAGGGAGAGTGTGTCAAGTAGAGTGGAGGCGGCTTGGAAAGAGGGAGACTCAGAGGAGAGTGAAGGACACATGACCAGGCGAGCCTGGGAGCAGGAAAAGAGAGTGAGCAGAGGCAACTGCTGGGTCAGGGGAGCGGATGGGAGGATCAGGGAATGCGGGGGGGCTGGAGAGGTAGGGGTGGGGATGTTGGCGAGGGGCTGCCTGGCTCGCCAGGCTCAGGAGTCAGTTACATCCTCCCACAAGGGCCAGCTCACCTGGTCGCCCCAAAGACCTCCCTCTGTGGGTGGGACCAGAGGGCCAAGAGCACAGATAACCCAATTGAGCAGGACTGAGGCGGACTCAGGTGGGTGCTGGGCCGGACTCCTGGCTGTGGGGAGCAGCCACCACCCTGCCTATTGCATCCACTTTCCAACTCGCTGCCTATCTGAGCAGATGCGATATTGGGCACCTTGTGAAACATGCTCCTGGTGCACCTGCTGCCTGCTGCCCCTCCTGCAGAGTGCCCGGGCTCTCCAGAGGGGATTCCTATGGAGGCTTGGCCTAGATTCTGAGTCCTGCCTCTCATACCTGGGGCTGCTACCCCAGAGGCCAGCTGCTTGAGTACCCCGGAAGCCAGTCTGTAGCCCCAGGCTACAGCTGGGTCCATCCCACAGCCCTTCTCTAATGTACCTATTTGGACTGGCTGCTCATTTCATAGAGAGGGGTGTGTCTTGCCCCAGACCATCTGGCATGTCTAAGGCAGCTGTGGGGTCAGAATCTGCAGCTCCCAGCCCTCAGCCCAGCAATAGTAGGAAAGGCTGGACCCCACATCTCTGAAGTCCCACTGGGTTGGTGCGAGCGGGCTCCCGAGTACAGGGCTGCTCTGCAGGCTGTGGGGCTCATGCGCCAGCTCTGAGCCCACCTGATGTGCTCACGTTGCTCACCTTTGGGCCTGTCCGGCCTCTCAGTCATTCGGCTGACCCTGAGGGCCTCTCCCTCATCTTGACCACCAGCTATGGGCTCTGATTTAGAGGTTCCCAGAACCTTAGACCATTTGGCCGGCCCCCCATTTCTCACCTGAGGAAACTGAGACCAGAGAGGGATAGCAACTTTCTCAAGGACCCCCAGCAATTCAGAGGCAGAACCAGGTCTAGGAGCCTCTTCTCGATAGAGGTTCCCCCTGTCCCCTGAGCCTTCGTTAGTGCCTCATTAACTTCCCTGTAAGGAAACTGCCCCGCTGAGGCTGGAAATGGTGCTGTCCAGAGTGGTGTGTGCCAGTGACTGTGCTTGTGTTTGTACTTGTGAGTGTGTATGGGGGTGGGGATGAGGGGTGGGAATAAACGGCAGGGATTCTGGGGGCTGGATGCACTCCACCTCACCCCAAAAAGGGGCGCAGGAGAGCCCAGCCAAGCACAGCACATGCTTCGACTTTCCAATCTGCTGAATGCCTGTGAGGCCGGCTGGGCCCAGAAGACAAGGGACAGGCCTTTCCCCATAGATGGCAGGGGGGGCCCAGGATGGGTGGAAGCTTCTGCCGCAGCTTTGGGGGTCACAACCCAGCCCATGGGCTGACACTTAAGCAGAAAAGCCACCTCTAGGGGTCAGTCATAATCTAGTGATTCTGATGAGGAGGGCCCCACCAACCTCTGTCCAGGGTCTTGTCTGGGAAAAACTGCTCCCTGGCAGAAAGAGGCTAATAATTTGAGAGGAAGCCATAGCTGAAACCCTAAGCTGTGTGAGTGTGTGTCCAGTTTGAGAAAGCATATCCGACTTAAACATTTGTATTGAAAAAATGGAAACATATTCCCCTTGTTTTGGAATACAAACTGCAGAAAGCAGCAGTTAACAGAATCTTATCGGAAAGGTCAGATTCTGCATCTGGAAAGGCACAGTGATTTTCAACTGTGGTGTGTGTCCTTAACTGAGGAAGGGAAGGTGAGATTTATGTTTAGTAAAAGGCAGCTATGAATTTACCTTTTATAAAGAGCTTGCTATATACTATTAGTGCTTTTCAGTCATGTCAGAATCAGCCAGATGCCTGTGGAAATGCAAATTCCCAGGCTTCATTCCCAGAGATTCTGGTCCTGTGAGCCTAGGGTGGGGCCCAGAAATCTCTATGGGGTGGTGCAGCCTGCCCCAGGACCACACCAAGAAACACTGCAACTGGCCCACACACATCCCAGTCCACAAATATGTAGGCAGGCATCTTATCTCCACAGAACAGATAGGGAAACTGAGGTCAGAGTGGGGAAAGAAACGTCATGGGGCCACCCAGCAAGTAGTAGCAGAGCCACGATACACCCACTGCCTGCAGACACCATCTCTGATGACAGCTCCACCTCCCCACAGGAATCTTGCCTACCCCCACCCCTACCTCCTGCTGCCCCTATGGTGGGTCTCTGTCCAAGGAAGATGTATCCTAGGTCCTCTAGGCTGACTGCGGCTCAGAGGAAACCTTGGCCCAGAGTGTAGGAGCTAGAGGGGTCCTTGGAATTCATGTGGGGAATTTGAGGCCCAAAGAAGGCAGTCCTCACATTTGAACTCTGTCTGGAGAAGGGCTAGGTCTTCTTCCTGAGTGGTAGTTTTGACTTCACCAGCCTGGCCCTCAGTCAAGCTGGCTGTCCAGGCCCGCCACACCTCGGGGTGGGTGACCAGAGGCGGTGGTGCCATAAAAACACGTTTCCTGGGAGATCCACCCCCAAAGCTCCAAACATTCCAGGGCTGGTGATTTGGGCAAGCCCCCTTCCCTCTCAGCCCAGTTTCCCCATCTCTGCAACAGCCGTGCTGGTGGAGACTTCTGATACTGAGCTGCAGATTTTCTCCTGGGTGCCTACACAGCCCAGGTTGCCGGCTCCTCTGTGCCCACTCTTCAAGAAAGTCAGCTCTTAGGTAAGGAAGGTGCCTTGGCCCTATCAGGAGCAGGAGCCGGTGCACCCCCAGCTTCCCAGACCAGTGGGGATGACCCAGGCTGCCTACAAAGCTGCTGCCCAGCCCAGAGACACCCGCCTGGGAGGGTGGCCCTGGCCCTTGCAGCGGCTCTGAGAAGAGTCGGCCCCCACTCCAAAACTGGCAGAGCCACCCATGCCTTCCCTCAGCCCAAAGAGGCTTTTAGGAACATGAATCGTCTCAAGTTCAAACCCATGGGGTTGCTGAAAGACAAGACAGTGCAGGGTGAGCTGGTGCGAGGGAGCGCTGCTCGGTGCAGACTTTGCAGGGAGGGCACTTAGGAAAAAGGACTGGAGTCTGGGAGGGTTAACTAGCTTAGGGTTAAAGGGAGGGGATGGAGCTGGAGTGAGCTGGCCTCGTCCTCCCCCTTGGGCCTTCCAGCCTGGGCTCAGGTGATTCAAGGGAGCAAGCACCTCCCTCTCCCAGCCAGGGAGTTCTCGCCACATTCTGCAATCAGTACCATTCCCCTGGGGGCTGGGTGACAGCCCCCACCTCTGGACCTGGCTGGAACTGCTGTCTCAATTCTAGATCCAAAAGAATCTCTGGCAGCTTCTCCATCTCCCTCTCAGTCCAGCCTCACCTCTTCGCCCGTGGAGGAGCTCCAACAGCAAATCTGGCAACTGGAGGAACAAGGCAGGAAGGGCAGGGTCTGAGGAAGGAACCACCTTCAAAAGGCAGCTCTGCCACCTTCTCTCCAGGACTCTCAGGCTTGCTTTCCTATTGCTCCCTCGACATCCTTTTGCTATAATCTGGCATGTTGACGTATAGTCTTTAAAAGCAACAATGCTGTTGACGTGGAGCAGACTTCCCATTTGGGATGGTTTGGAGAAGTTAGGTTTGAGGGCATCCTCTCTTCTGCAAACTGCAGCAGTAATAGATGAGATATACAAAGTAAATAAAGGCTGGGTGCGGTGGTCGTGCCTGTAATCCCAGCACTCTGGGAGGCTGAGGCAGGAGGATCACTTGAAGCCAGGAGTTCGAGACCAGCCTGGCCAATATGGCGACACCCTGTCTCTACTAAAAATGTAAAAATTAGCTGGGCATAGTGGTGCACACCTGTAGTCCCAGCTACTCAGGAGGCTGAGGCAGGAGAATCACTTGAACCCGGGAGGCAGAGGCTGCAGTGAAATGAGATCCCGCCACTGCATTCCAGCCTGGGCGACAGAGTGAGACTCCATCTCAAAAAATAAAAATAAAAAATAAAGTAAATAAAAAAGACATGCCCAGGCTGAAAAATAAGTTAATTATCTCCATGAACGAAAAGCAGACAAGAAATGCAAAGTGGTTGGAGGCTGAAGAGCCTGGACCCTCCTGGGCTTTGGGAACCAAAGATGGTGGCAAGTCCTTTGGGATAAAGAGGGACCAAATGACTCCTAGCTAGAAGCTGGGAGCTTGGGTGTACCCCAGTACTTGAAAGGATGCTAGCTGGGCGCGGTGGCTAATGCCTGTAATACCAGCACTTTGGGAGGCCGAGGGAAAGTAACTCTTATGTCAGTGTGAAGCAAATCAGACAGGACAGGGGAACATGGAGGGGAGGAGAGCCAAACCAGGGCCTGGTTCCAGACCCACCACACACGCCCCGTTGAGCCAGGAGCACAGGTGGCTCTCTGCACAACATCAAGAGCGAGGACATGCTTTCAGCTCCACTTTAACTCAGGTTCCTAATGTGACAGCAGGCTTGTCAATCCCACTTGCCCCCGTGGCTCACACCAGAAAACTACCAGCAGTGTGAGTAAGGACAGAAGCAGGAGACAGAGGAGCCAGGGTTGGGGAATCCCATAGCAACCCACAGGCCCTCATCACACACGGCAAGGATGCGCCTTCACTGGGCTCACCACCACCACTAGACATCACCTTCACTACATGATACCCTGCCTGGATAACACCACTGTAACACAAGAAACAGGTCTAGAATCTAACATGTATGCTACACCTGAAGGAGCAAGAGACGGTAATACAATACAATGAAATTTTTAGTTTATTTAATATAAAATTTAGAGCCATAATCAAAATGTGTAATTCTGATGGGATTCACTACTTATAAAAACTTCGCAGCACTCTATTTTCAAATGTAAATGGTATTCTGTGGCTCCTCGCCAGCATGTAAATAACGATCTACTCTGAAATACGTTTCACGGCTTATTTTTGGCAAGCAGCGATTTCTCCAACCCACGTTTTCCAAGGGAAAAAAGGACATGAAATGTCTCCAAAAGTCTCTTACGATCTTTAGATAAACTACTGTTCAACAACTGCATCTGCCAAGTCAACACATCAAGAATCCTTCACTCACAAACACTTAAGGTGAGAAAACAGTGTCTACCCATGCAGGAGAGGGACACATGATCCATGCTTATGAAGACAGCCTGGATATCGGCTACTGGAAAGCTGCGAATGCATTTTTCTTTTTCTACTTTCCAAAAGTTTTGTGAGGTGATACTTATTTCTATGTTTGTGTCTATTCTTTTTATTTTGTATTTTTTAGTAGGTACATCCTTACTATAAATCTGCTGTAGAACCAATGTCCCATACAGGACCCCACGTGCCACAGGAACCAAAAAGTCACACGCAGCGAAGACGAAGACACAGGAGACAACCTGTGTGGACAGCACAGAGCCACCTGCCCAGGACACCAATGGAGCCACAGGTGCAATTCAAAATGTTCTTAGTCGTATTAATAAACATGGCCAGGTGCGGTGGCTCACGCCTGTAATCCCAACACTTTGGGAGGCTGAGGTGGGCAGATTACCTGAGGTTGGGAGTTCAAGACCATCCTGGCCAACATGGTGAAACCCCATCTCTACTAAAAATACAAAAATTAGCCAGGTATGGTGGCATGCTTCTGTTAGTCCCAGCCACTCAGGAGGTTGAGGCAGGAGAATCATTTGAACCCAGGAGGCAGAGGCTGCAGTGAGCTGAGATCGTGCTACTGCACTCCAGTCCAGGCAACAGAGTGAGGATCCATCTCCGGGTGGGGAAAAAAAATTGTTCTTAGTCACATTAACAAAAGTAAAAAAAAAAAACAAAAAACACACCAACAAGAAAAACAACAACACATAAAATTAATTGTAATAATGGCTGGTTGCAGTGGCTCATGCCTGTAATCCCAGCACTCTGGGAAGCCAAAGCGGGCAGATTACTTGAGGTCAGGAGTTCGAGACCAGCCTGGCCAACATGGTGAAACTCTGTCTCTACAAAAATACAAAAATCAGCCAGGCGTGGTGGTAGTCCCAGCTGCTCGGGAGTCTGTAGTCCTGTAGTCCCAGCTGCTCAGGAGGCTGAGGCAGGAGAATCACTTGAACACAAGAGGCGGAGGTTGCAGTGAGCCAAGATTGCACCACTGCACTCCGGTCTGGTCAACAGAGTAAGATTCCATCTTAAAAAATAAAAATAATTTTAATAATGTATCATAGTTATTCCAACAGATCAAAAATATGACCATTTCAACATGAAATCAATCTAAGAAAAATTATTGAGATATTTTACATAGGTTATTTCATATTAAGTCCTCAAAAACCATCTGAGTAGCTTACATATGTAACACATTTCAATTTGGACCGTGAAATTTGCATTGAAAACATCTGATCTCCATTTAGACTCATAAAATACACAGTTGACAAAGTAGACTCCCAAGGCCAAGTGATTCTAAACATACTTAAGTGCTTTCTAATAACAGAATCAAATTTTCAAACCTGCATTTTAATGAATAAAAATTAAACAGATAAAATATTCAGTGTCTCAGCTATGACGGACAGACTTCAAGTGCTGATCAGCAAACGGTGTTGAGTGTAGCCAGATGGGCCAGCGCAGGCTACACAGCTGCAGCTCAAACAGCACAGCTGCAGGTCAAACAGGCCAGTCTCTCTGCGCACGGGAACAGTCTGGGCAAGCAGGAGACGGGGAAAACGGGCACTGCCCTCGTGAGAACAAAGGACCCACAACAGGAACCCTGCACTCACCCCCTGCCAAAGACCAACAGCCCCACGAAGCAGCCACTTCAGAAAAGGGAGAGGCATTCAAGAACTTAGAAAAGCACCTCTGGAAAATGCTCACTTTAAAACTTTGCATGTAACTGTACATTTTAATTACAAGGTTTTTAACATCCATTTTCTCATGTATTCTTAATTAACTCTGTGAAAGTAAACACAGCTTTTATTCTTACTCCTATAGTTACTGTGTTGGAAGTCCACCTATATGAACAAACTGTTGTAACTGAAATTTTCTGAGAACAAATCCCAAGCTCTTTCCATCGACACAAACTATATTGTTTAGTTCTCTTTATTTCCATTTGTTAAAGACCAGAATGTGTGAAATATGCATTATCAGATTAGAAAAACAAAACAAACATCAGAAAAAGGTTTTGCAAAATAGCATTTACTAAAATCTATGACAGAAACTAGCTCTAAAACTTCCTGTTTCAAAATTTCACTGTGTGTGCACTAAGTTAGTTTTTCTGGCTGTGGACAGCAGGCCCACCCCATGCCGCGGGCCCACCCCACGCCGCAGGCCCACCCCACGCCACAGGCCCACCCCACGCCACAGACCCACCATGGCCCCATGAACAGGCCAGCTGAGAGCTGCAGCCACTGCCCAGGGCTCCCTGGTCTGTACTCGGCTGCCTGACCCAAGCTGCCAGGGCTCTGCTTTCTCTATGTGTAGAAACAAAAACCAGGAGCATCAGTTGACGAAAAGCAGATTTTTATTGAACAGAGGTATAAATGTGTTTCATTTTCTAATAAATCTCTTTCACAAATCACCTTGCTGTTTCGCTCTTCTTGAATGATCATTTTTACACAACACTGTCTGACTGTTTTGGCTTCTGCCAAGGTTAGCGTCTGTTCACAGGCTGAGTCTGACTTCTTCCTCCCACCTCCTCCTAGTCTGGCCTTCCAAAATAATGCTCACCATTCTATCACATTGACTTCAGTTTTGAAAAGAAAAGTTATCTTACAAAGTAGTATGTATAACTCTGTAATATATAAAGTGAGGCAATGATACAATCAGTTTTAAAAATAACCTTCCATGATGATTTTCATTTGCATCCACCTGCTTATTAGTAAGAATCTTTTTACATGTTTACTGCACGCCCCAATTTCTCTTCAGTGAAAAACTTTTGAGTATCATCACACCCTCCAACTTCTCCTCTCACCTATATTGAAAAGGGTCTGCTCTTTATCCTAACATCTATACTAGGTAATTTTCAGAATATTCCTTCAATCATCAAACAAATTTTTGAGATCCTTGCGCTAGATTTCACTATCTTAATATGAAAACCAATAATCACCTATTAAAATACAATACAGGCCAGGCACAGTGGCTAACACCTGTAATCCCAACATTTTGAGAGGCCAAGGCAGGTGGGTCACCTGACGTCAGGAATTTGAGACCAGCCTGACCAATATGGTAAAACCCCATCTCTACTAAAAATACAAAAATCAGCCAGGTGTGGTTGCAGACGCCTGTAGTCCCAGCTACTCGGGAGGCTGAGGCAGGAGAATAGCTTGAACCCAGGAGGCGGGGGTTGCAGTGAGCCAAGATCGTGACACTGCACTCCAGCCTGGACGATAGAGCAAGACTCCATCTCAAAAAAAAAAAAAAAAAAAAAAAAAACACCATTAATAAGTAAATAAATAGGCCAGGCGTGGTGGCTAATGCCTGTAATCCCAACATTTTGATAGGCCAAAGTGGATGGACCACCTGAGGTCGGGAGTTCAAGACCGGCCTGACCAACATGACAAAACCCTGTCTCTAATAAAACTACAAAATTAGTGGGGCATGGTGGCGCATGCCTGTAATCCCAGCTGCTCGAGAGGCTGAGGCAGAGGAATTACTTGAACCTGGGAGGCGGAGGTTGCAGTGAGTCAAGATCGCACCACTGCACTCGGGCCTGGGCAACAAGAGCGAAACTCTGTCTCAAAAAACAAAAAAGTAAATAAATAAAACACAATACAATACAGCTAATATGATTTACCTAAGAAGCTGTTGTATGAGCTGAACCAGAGGCAAACACTGTTTGCCAGAAGACTCACAGATCCCCGTATTAATAAGGTCTTTATCCAATGGAGTCCTCCTTCTATGAAATGTTGAGGCATTTGCTTCCTGTTCATAAATTTCTTTTTCCTTCCGTGCTTCTTTTTTTGTATCCTGTAATTGATAAACAGAAATTGTTTACAAGTGATCTCATTACCAGGTGTGAAGGCACACAGGCTGGCTGAGCCCTGACCCCAGTGCCAAGCTATCCCAGCCTCTGTGGCTGCCACACCCATCCACCCACAGGCCCCCACCTGCCCTGTTGGAAACCCCAACTCATCTGTGCAGTTTCAAACAGTGTCTTCTTTTTACAGATCCAAGGTCTAGGCTGCCTCTGCTGATGCTCTCCAGCCTCCTTCTGTGAAGTCCCTAAAATCCTTAACCCTGCTAATGGCTCACACAAAACCCAATGTGATCGGCTCCACACACACAGCATCCAGCTGCTCTGTAAGGACAAGAAGGAGCTAGAATTCTCACACACAAAAGTCCTGGTTCAAATGCAAATGGCAAAGCCACTTTGGGAAACTATGAACACACACTAACCCCAGGACCTAACAAATTCCACTCCAAGTGTTTATCCAAAGGGAGAACATATGTTCACTAAAGTACTTGTTCACAGCACAATTGTGGCAGCTCTACACGGCCAAAAACCAGAAAGCCTGGGCGCGGTGGCTCATGCTTGTAATCCCAACACTTTGGGAGGCCAAGGTGGGGGGATCACTGGAGCCCAGGAGTTGAAGACCAGCCTTGCAACACAGTGAAACCTTGTCTCTACAAAAAAATCAAAAAACTAGCCGGGCATGGTGACATGTATGTGGTCCCTGCAACACAGGAGGCTGAGGTGGGAGGATCATTTGAACCTAGGAGTACAAGGCTGCAGTGAGCCAACATCAGGTCACTGTATACAGCCTGGGTGACAGAGCAAGACCCTGTCTCAAAAAAAAAAAAAAAAAAAGAAAACAAAAACCAAAAACAATTACATGTCCTTCAATAGGAGAATGAACTAACAAACAGTACTACACCTATAAAATGGAAAACTTCCCAATAATAAAAACGAAGTCGCAATACACACAACAGTGAGTGAATCTGAAAATCATTCTCCAAGGCAAAGCAGGAAAGAGTGCATACTATACAGTTATATTGCTGCGACACTCAGAGCAGGAAAAATGAATCTAATCTCAGGGCAGGGGAGTATCCTGGCTGCAAGTGCCAAGGAGCACAGGGATCTTTCCGGGTGACGGGAATGGTCTACATGAGGAACAGGTTACCTGTTAACTTCACTGAAACAGACAACATGCAGTATTTTATCACAAATCATCTCAATAATTTTTAAAATTAGCACATAAAAGAATTTTAATTTAAAAAAATACTTGGATATAAGTTTAGTGTTTTACTGTTTTCAGTTATTCTTCACATGTGTGAGTGTGGTATTTCTGATCTCAGCCCACCACCAGGTCACGTGTGCCTCCAAGGCCATACCTGGATCTCTGCAGTAATGGCTGCGTGTAAGGCTGACTCCAACCCTCCATCAGCCATCAGGCTGCCCACCAGAAGATCAATCACCAATCGATGACCTGGACTTATGCTCACTTCATTGCCTGAAACTGAAATAGAAAGTGTGTGCCAATTTGAGTGAAACGCCATCCCCTCCCAGCACCCTGACCCATGCCCTCTCCTGTTCCTTCCCCGAGCCCACCTCCGCAGGACAGGAGAGCAGAGTGCCCGGGCCTGCTTCTCAGCGGTGGGCAACAGCATGGACCAGCCGCTCTGCAGCATGGCCTGGGAGGCCGACTGCACGGTGCTCAGCACGTCTGCGCTGCTTGCCAGGGTCACCACCTTCTGCTTCAGGCTGTTCAGGAAGACGCTGCCCAGACCTAAACCAAGGAATTCCAGGTCAACCTGGTGACTAATGGCAGCATGCAACTGAAAGGAGAAAAACAATTTTCACTTAGAACCCCTAAAAATGAGTGAATTTCAAAGTCTTATTAAACACTGAATAAAAGTCAATTTGAAGTATTATCTAAATAGACAAAATAACTTCTCAGTTTACGTATTTTTAAAAACTGGACTAAAAAAACTCTTACCCACAATAGTTGAAGTATTTTCTAGAGGAATTTTTTTTAACCCCACTATGAACACATATATGGAAAAGCTCAAGATGAGCAGAAGAGCTAAACAACTAGCAACAGCAACCTCCACCCGCCCCAACAATCTGCACCAAACACAGAAATAATGGCTACAATGTAACCACAAAAGCTGCCACAGGCGGTGGCTCATGCCTGTAATCCCAGCACTTTGGGAGGCCGACGTGGAAAGCTCACTTGAGATCAGGAGTTCAAGATCAGCCTGGCCAACATGATGAAACCCCATCTCTATAAAAAAATCAGCCGGGTGTGATGGTACACACCTGTAGTCCCAGCTACTTGGGAGGCTGAGGCAGGAGAATCACTTGAACCTGGCAGGCCAAGACTGTACCACTGCATTCCAGCCTGGGTGACAAAGTGACACCCTGTCTAAAAAAAAAAAGAGCTGCTAAAAATTAGACTGCGGAGCTGAGAGTACACAGGGAAACTCCTCAAGTGCAAAACCAAAATTCACGTGGGCACACACAGCAGGAGTCAAGAGGTTCCGGGCTCTGAAAGCAGAGCCAAGCCGCCAGGCTTCAGCACAACCTCCCACACGGGAATGCACACAAGGACCCACTGAACCCGAGCTTCCTGCAGAAGGCTGGGAGCCACTCAGGATCACCTGCCTGCCAGCCAACCGCAGCCAGGGGGCAACACACTGCCCGTCCCAGGCTTTGGGTAGCAAGAGGCCCCATGAGAAATCAGAGACCCGGCCTTGCCCTGTGAGTAGAAGTGAAATCAAAAGCACACCACTCATCTAGGTATAGATATCACAGGTCAGGAAATGACCACCGAAACTCACCTGGAGTCTGTGAAACCTACAGAACCCTCAGGACCCCGGAGAGGCAAATGCAAAACCATACGCTGGGACACCTCGACAGCCTAAGACATACACAAGGCCACGCCCCACAGCACTGACCAGAACAGACACATCACCGCAAACCAGGAGGGGCAGCAAACACCTGGGGCGCAACCATGCAAATGCCAGGATGCCACAGATATGGTGATAAATGAGTGCTACAGAGGACTAGAGGAGAAGCATGCTCCAGACCTCTGCTCAGTTCATTACTGCAACTAAACACTACACTCAGTTCTGTACATTCTAGAAGCAGGGCAAAAAGGGGAGGGGCTGGAAGAGGGACATGATGGGTTGTTACAAGAAACCACTGTAATAAAAGGGAAAAATTACTATGTCGAGAAAACCGTGGTTCTTGTCATTAAGTTAGAGGGTTTTATTAGAAAGACAAAAGATGATGATCAAACACTTCAGCTTTAGTTTTGCTAGGGAGGAAGGCTTTTGTAGCTTTTATTTTGACCCTAACCACAGCCTTCATGGTGAGGAAAGGAAGGTATTGCTTTGGGAGCCGAGCTTACTGAGTAGATCAAGCTTGTTCAACCCACGGCCCGAGGGCAGCATGTGGCCCAGGGCAGCTTTGAATGTGGCCCAAAGTAAAATTTCTTAAAACATCATGAGATATTTTTGGGATTCTTTTTTTAAGCTCATCAGCTATCATAAGTGTATTTTATGTGTAGCCCAAGACAATTCTTCTTCCAGTGTGGCCCAGGGAAACCAAAAGACTGGACCCTCCTGGAGCAGGGTTTTCACAGGACAGAGGAGAGACAGGCCAGCACTGGTCTCTCAGCTGAGCGCTGTCTCTCTCCATCACCTGTGATCTCACCCAGTCATTTCTCCACACGCAACAACAGTAAAACAGTAAGAATACCAACAAACTAATGATTATAGCAAAAATAACACAATCCATATACACTCTTCCTGCATGCCGAGGCTGACTTCCAGGACAAACATAAAATAAACAGATCAAGTTTTTTAAGCCTTGCGTCCATTATTAGTGCATTACAATCTTACTTTAAAATACTTCCCCCAGCAGGCTAAAACCTATGTCCTTCAAAATACATAAACCTTCTTACAAATCGCTAAGACACTTATAAAAGGAGCAAGAGGAAGGGAAATCACGAATACCTGAAGTCGGGGAAGATTCAGCGTTGCCACGGCCACGCACTCTTTCTCCTGGGGCGGGGGCCAGTCCGTGGAGCCATCCATCCCCTCACTCACCTGCCGAAGCAGGAGATCCAGCTGCTCAAAAGTCACTGAGCAAATATCCACCCCAAAAGGGACATGGAGGCCAATGGACCACTCAGAACACGATGACCAAGCAATGCTCTAAGAGGAAACGCAACAATCGGAAATGAATCTCCAAATGCAGCTCTTGGTCTGTCGCACAGGAGTCACCAGCTTGTGTGATGGAGCTGCCTTATATTATTACCTATCATCCCTCTAACTGCCCAGTGGAAAAGCATTCATGGGTGTCTAGCTCACACACTATCAGCTTCCAATTCTCCCACCCATTTCACTAGCCCCATCTCACTTGGCCATACCTAAAAAAGTAAAAACATTTTAAAAAATCTTTTCACTCTCAAAATGATTAATGCACATTAATGGATGGCAGTGAGGCTCTCCATCCACTTGAAGTGGTATAATAGCAACTCTAACTAGACAATGAATTGTTAGACACATATAACACACACAATATCTTTCATAGTGAGAGAACAAGTAATCGGCAAAAATCTAGGAGAACTGTAGAACACCTTCAATAAACTGGATCTAATTTATAGAACACTTCACCCAACAACAGCAAAATACATATACTTTTTTTTTTTTTTGAGACAGAGTCTCGCTCTGTCGCCCAGGCTAGAGTGCAGTGGCGGGATCTCAGCCCACTGCAAGCTCTGCCTCCTGGGTTCACGCCATTCTCCTACCTCAGCCTCCTGAGTAGCTGGGACTACAGGTGCTCACCACCACGCCTGGCTAATTATTATTATTTTTTTAATTTTTATTTTTAGTAGAGATGGGGTTTCACCATGTCAGCCAGGATGGTCTTGATTTCCTGACCTCGTGATCCACCTGCCTTGGCCTCCCAAAGTGCTGGGATTACAGGCGTGAGCCACCGTGCCCGGCCATACATACACTTTACATATACTTTTTTTAAATTTTATTTTTTTTGAGATGGAGTCTAGCTCTGTCGCCCAGGCTGGAGTGCAGTCGCATGATCTCAGTTCACTGCAAGCTCTGCTTCCCAGGCTCAAGCCAGTCTCCTGCCTCAGCCTCCCAAGTAGCTGGGACTACAGGCACCCGCCATCATGCCCGGGTAATTTTTTTTGTATTTTTAGTAGAGACGGAGTTTCACCCTGTTAGCCAGGATGGTCTCGATCTCCTGACCTTGTGATCTGCCTGCCTCGGCCTCCCAAAGTGCTGGACCATACATATACTTTTTAAGCACATACAGACCATACATATACTTTTTACACATATATGTATACATATATGTATATACAGACCATACATATACAGACCATACATATACTTTTTAAGCACATACAGAATGTTCACTGAGAACATAACCTGACACATAAATCTTAACAAATTTAAAAGAAATGAAATCATATGCAGTTTGTTCTCCAATCACAATGGTATTAAACTAGAAATCATTAACAAAACAATCTGCAAACACTTCAAAATAAAACAACATACTTAATAATCCATGGGTCAGGCCGGGCGCACTGGCTCACGCGTGTAATCCCAACACTGTGGGAGGCCAAGTTGGGGGGATCACCTGAGGCCAGGAGTTGAAGATCAGCCTGGCCAACATGGAGAAACCCCATCTCTACTGAAAATACAAAACAATTAGCCGGGCATGGTGGCGGGTGCCCGTAGTCCCAGCTAATCAGGAGGCTGAGGCAGGAGAATCGCTTGAACCCAGGAGACAGAGGTTGCAGTGAGCCGAGATCATGTCATTGCACTCCAGCCTGGGCAACAACAGTGAAACTCCGTATTGAAGAAAAATAATAATAATAATAATCATCATCATCATCATCCATGGGTCAAAGAACAATTCTCAAAAGAAATTAGAAAATATTTTGAACATAAATGAAAATGCACCAAAATTTGTGGGGTTAATTAAAGCACTGCTTAGAGGAAAATTTATAGCATCAAATCATTATATATTACAAAAAAGATAGGTCTAAATCAGCAATCTAAGTTTCCACCTTAAGAAACCAGAAAAAGAGCAAAGTGAACGCAAAACAAGCCAAAGGAACAAATGCCAAGATAAAAGCAGAAACTAATGAGATTGAAAGCAAAAAAAGAAGGGAAAAATTAATGAAACTTAAAGATCATTCTTTGAAAAGATCAACAAAATTGAAAAACTCTAGGAAAACTGACAAAGAAAAAAACAGAAAAGATACAAATTATCAGTATCAGGAATGAATGAAGGGACATCACTGCAGGCCCCACAGACTTCAGACGGTTAGCAAGAGAACACTAAGGAAAACTTGACACTTAAAAATCAGACAACTTAGATGAAATAAAGCAATGTCCGAGTGCCACAAACCAGGAAAATCCTCCTAGAAACAAACAGGTTACCTGAATAGTTCTGTATCTGTTAAATAAATTGAATTTGTAAAAAAATTTTTTTTTTTTTTGAGCCTGAGTCTCACTCTGTCACCCAGGCTGGAGTGCATTGGTGCAATCTCAGCTCTCTGCAATCTCTGCCTCCCAGGTTCAAGTGATTCTCCTGCCTTAGCCTCCTGAGTAGCTGGGATTACAGGCGCACGTCACCAAGCTCGACTAATTTTTTGTATTTTTAGTAGAAACGGGGTTTCACCATGTTAGCCAGGCTGGTCTCAAACTCCTGACCTCAGGTGATCCACCTGCCTCGGCCTCCCAACGTGCTGGGATTATAGGCACGAGCCACCGTGCCCGGCGTAAAATCTTTTAGAAAGAAATCTCCAGGTTCAGATGGATTCAAAAACATTTAAAGAAGAAATAACACTAATTCTACACAATCCCTTAGAGAAAATGGAAAAGGAGGGAACACATGCCAATACTTTGTATAAGGTCAGCTTTCCCCTGACAGAAAGCCAGACGAGATAGTGTAATACAAAGAAAGAAAACTGCAAACCAACATCCCTGATGAGCATCAACAGAAAAATCCTCAAAAACGTGTTAGCAAGTCAAATTTAGCAATATAGAAACAGAATAGGGCCGGGCGCAGTGGCTCACGCCTGTAATCATAGGAATATTGGGATGCCAAGGAGGGTGGATCACTTGAGGTCAGGAGTTGGAGACCAGGCTGGCCAACATGGTGAAACCCCATCTCTACTAAAAACAAACAACAAACAAACAAAATTAGCCAGGTGTGGTGGTGCACACCTCTAATCCCAGCTACTCAGGAAGCTGAGGCAGGAGAATTGCTTGAACCCAGGAGGCAGAGGTTGCAGAGAGCTGAGATTGCACCAATGCACTCCAGCCTGGGTGACAGAGTGAGATTCTGTCTCAAAAAAAAAAAAAAAAAAAAAAGAAAGAGAGTAGTAAATTGTGGCCAAGTGATGCCTATCCCAGTAACACAAGGCTTGGTCAGTATTTAAAAATCAGGCTGGTATAGTGTCTCACACCTGTAATCCCAGCACTTTGGGAGCTCACTGCAACCTCAAACTCTTAAGCTCAAGCAATCCTCCTGCCTCAGCCTCCTGAGTAGCTGAGACTACAGGTGCACACCAGCATGCCACGCTAATTTTTAATTTTTTTGTAGAGATGGGATCTCGCTGTGTTGCCCAAGCTGGTCTCTAACTCCTGGGCTCAAGTGACCCTCTCGCCTATGCCTCCCGAAGTGCTGGTGTGAGCTGTTGCACCCAGCCAAAATACGGCAGATTTGTAGTACCCCAGAAGGCTCCTTCCTGACCTACACTTTCCCACAAAGGAAACTACTCTTCTGACTTCAATCATCGTCAGTTCTGCCTTCCTGCGCTTCATCTAGGTGGGCTGGTACTGTGCACTGTCTCTCATACCTGGCTCCCTCTATTCACCCATGTCGTTGAGTGTTCCTACCACTTCATTTTTCTTTTTTGGCTGTGTAGTATTCCATGATGTGACTGTATCACCATTTATTCACTCTCCTGTTGATGGACACTTAGGTTGTTTTCATTTGGGGCTCTTATGAATAAAAATGGCAGTGAACATTCTTATATAAGTCTTTTTGTGGACATATGCACTCGTTTCTCTTGTGTACATGCTTAGGATGGAATTTCTGAACGTAGGCATAGATATAGCTTTAGTAGAAGCTGCCAAACAGGTTTCCAATGTGCTTATACAATTTTATGCTACTGCCAGCTTGACAGTTCTTGTAGCTCTACATCTTTACCAATACTCTGTATAACACAGCATTTAACTTTAAATAGAGATAAAACGATGGTAAGATCCAAAGAAGTGTGCATGTTCCTGAAGAACATCCAGTAAAGGGCCTATTTTATTCATCTGTTTCGGGCACTGAAAACCACTGCATGGCCGGATGAGGAAGGAGGCCTGGTACAACTCCCAAGAAGGCATGTGTCCCTCGGGTGGGCTTTGTTTCCCAGAAACTCTGGGGAAGGGGTGGAGAGGCACCTTCTGGGCCAGCTGGTCTCCTCTGGCTTTTCTTGTACCCTAGGGCTCCCTCCAAAGAGACAGAGAACAGCCTGGCCGGGGAGCAGTATCTCCTACTGCGCTTGCTGTGAGCCAGCCACTCTGCCTTCTTTCAGGAATTACAAAATCCACAGGTCCCCGGCATCCTTATTTATGTATTTATTCATTTATGAGGCATGGTTTTCCTCAGCTCTGTTGGATGGGTCTCTGTGAAGGGAGCTTGGTGGGGGCGAGTGGCCCCTCCCTGGAGGAGGCAGGCCCCTGGTCAGGATCTTTGGGGCTCCAGGTCTCATAAGTGGGGGGCCAGGCTCCCTAGAGAAACCCTTCTTGGCTAGGGCTGGGGAGCCCACCAGAGTGACCCAATCAGTTCTCAGGGCCTGTGATGGGGCCAAGTGGTTTTGAGAAGCCAGTGTTCAGCTCCATCCTAAAGAGCACTCATGCACGTTGGGGAGGAGGGCCGGGGTGCACAGCTCTGACCTGAGTCAGACCCACCTCAGGACTTAGCCCAGCAGGAGGCCCAGAGTCACTGACCATAAAACGAGCAGATGCCTCCCCCGTGCTGATGGAGATGAGTCTTGGGCATCAACTCTAATAATTTCTAACTGCACCCAGAAATACTGATTCACACAGCAACTAGTGAATAATAGCCTTTTAGAGCTAAAAAAGCCTCATATATTATAAATTAACATATGCATTTTACACAAACTAGAGGCACCGTGGTGGGCCAGCAGCAGCCTGTTCAGGGGCCACAACAAGGGAGATTGGATTTCCTTAAGTGCAATGGGAGTTACTGGCAAGGCTTTAAGGTTTTAGCCACAGGAAAGATGAAAGTATTTTAGAGCAATGTGGGTGGATTCAAAGTGAGGTTTTGAACTAGATCAGTTTTTTTTTTTTTTTTTTTTTTTTTAGACAGAGTCTGACTCTTATTGCCCAGGCTGGAGTGCAGTGGTGCTATCTTGGCTCCCTGCAACCTCTGCCACCCAGGTTCAAGCAATTCTCCTGCCTCAGCCTCCTGAATAGCTGGGATTACAGGCACCTGCCACCAAGCCCGGCAAATTTTTGTATTTTTACGGGGTTTCACCATCTTGGCCAGGCAGTTCTTGAACAACTCCTGACCTCGTGATCCACCTGCCTTGGCATCCCAAAGCATTAATTTTTTTTTTTTTTTTTGAGACGAAGTCTTGCTGTGTCGCCCAGGCTGGAGTGCAGTGGCCCGATGTCGGCTCACTGCAAGCTCCGCCTCCCAGGTTCACGCCAGTCTCCTGACTCAGCCTCCCGAGTAGCTGGGACTACAGGCGCCCGCCACGATGCCCAGCTAATTTTTTGTATTTTTTTTAGTAGAGATGGGGTTTCACCGTGTTAGCCAGGGTGGTCTCAATCTCCTGACTTCCTGATCTGTCCGCCTTGGCCTCCCAAAGTGCTGGGATTACAGGGGTAAGCCACCACGCCCCTCCAAGTATTAAATTTTTTATTTAAAAAATCTCCCCTCTCCAAAGATCTCCCAGCATTTCTGCAGAGGTCTCTACCTAGGTAAGGAGAAGAAACTATTCTTGGCCGGGTACAGTGGCTCACGCCTGTAATACCAGCACTTTGGAAAGCCAAGGTTGGAGGATTCCTTGATCCCAGAAGTTCGAGACCAGCCTGGCCAACATGGTGAAACCCCATCTTTACCAAAAATACAAAAATTAGGTGGGTGTGGTGGAGTGTGCCTGTAGTCCCAGCTACTCAGGAGGCTGAGGTAGAAGGATCGCTTGGGCCTGGGAGGTCAAGTCTGCAGTGAACCAAGGTGGTGCCACTGCACTCCAGCCTGGGTAACAGAGTGAGATCCTGTCTCAAAAAAAAAAAATTATTTGTGAGGGTGAAATTTAAATACCTTTGTGCATAGCTATCAGTTATTCTTTGTTTTAATATTTAGTTTATTGTGAAATATAACACATATAGAAACATACATAAAACAACACACAGGGCCAGGCCCGGTGGGTCACGCCTTGTAATCCCAGCACTTTGGGAGGCCGAGGCGGACGGATTACTTGAGGTGAGGAGTTTGAGACCAGCCTGGCCAACATGGTGAAACCCCATCTCTACTAAAAATACAAAAATTAGTCAGATGTGGTGGTGCATGCCTGTAATCCCAGCTACTTGGGAGGCTGAGGCAGGAGAATCGCTTGAACCTGGGAGGCAGAAGTTACAGTGAACCAAGATTGTGCTACTGCACTCCAGCCTGGGCAACGGAGTCAGACTGTGTCTAAAAAAAAAGAAAAAAAATAAAGGCTGGGTGTGGTGGCTCACGCCTGTAATCCCAGCACTTTGGGAGGCCGAGGCGGGCAGATCCCTTGAGGTCAGGAGTTCGAGACCAGCCTGACCAACATGGAGAAACCCCATCCCTACTAAAAGTACAAAATTAGCCGGGCATGGTGTTGCATGACTGAAATCCCAGCTACTTTGGAGGCTGAGGCAGGAGAATCGCTTGAATCTGGGAGGTAGAGGTTGTTTTGAGCTGAGATCACGCCATTGTACTCCAGCCTGGGCAACAAGAGCGAAACTCCGTCTCAAACAAACAAAAAACAAAACAAAAACAAAAAACACAGTGTAACATGTTATTATAAAGTCACTGCTCAGGGACCAACTTGGCCGCTCCTGTGCCTCTAGAGGGAAGCTCCTTCCCACTGTTCTTTAGAGTTTTATATGTTAAGTACAGGAGTCAACAAACTAGGCCTATGCACCACATCTGGCACCCAGCCTTTATTTATTTTTTGAGATGGCGTCTCACTCTGTCACCCTGGCTGCAGTGTGGTAGCACAATCTCGGCTCACTGCATCCTCCACCTCCCAGATTCAAGCAATTCTCCTGCCTCAGCCTCCTGAGTAGCTGGGATTACAGGTGTGTGCCACCACACCCGGCTAATTTTTATATTTTTGGTAGAGACGGGGTTTCACCATGTTGGTCAGTCTGGTCTCGAACTCCTGACGTCAGGTGATCCGCCTGCGTTGCCCTCTCAAAGTGCTGGGATTACAGGCATGAGGCATGATGCCTGACCCAGCCTTTTTTAAAATGAAGGTTTCGGCTGGCGCGGTGGCTCATGTCTGTAGTCCCAGCATTTTGGGAGGCCAAGGCAGGTGGATCACCTGAGGTCAGTAGTTGGAGACCACCCTGGCCAACATGGTGAAACCCCGTCTGTATCAAAATACAAAAATTAGCTGGGCGTGATGGCAGGCACATGTAATGCCAGCTACTCGGGAGCCTGAGGCACGACAATCACTTGAACCCGGGAGGCGGAGGTTGCAGTGAGCCAAGATCACATGATTGCACTCCAGCCTGGGCAACGAGCGAAACTCCATTTCAAAATACAATAATAAAAAAAAGGATGTCCTTTTTTGTCTCTCAACCCCGTTTTTTATTTTTTTTTATTTTCAGACAGGGTC
Source organism: Homo sapiens (assembly GCF_000001405.40). Lineage (NCBI taxonomy): Eukaryota > Metazoa > Chordata > Mammalia > Primates > Hominidae > Homo > Homo sapiens. Next base: position 20,508,535 of record NC_000015.10, on the reverse strand, counting down.
TCGCTCTGTTGCCCAGGGTGGAGTGCAGGGGCCCGATCTTAGCTCACTGCGGCCTCAACTTCCCCAGCTCACATGATCCTCCCACCTCAGCCTCCCAAATAGCTGGGACCACAGGTGGGTACCACCATGCCCGCCTAATTTTTGTATTTTTTGTAGAGATGGGATTATGCCATGTTGCTCAGGCTGATCTCGAACTTCTGGGCTCAAGTGTCTCTCTGCCTCCACCTCCCAAAGTGCTGGGATTGCAGGCCTGAGCTACCATGCCCAGCCCTGCTTTAATTTAAAGTGTATTACATTTGATATTAGTACAGCCCCTTCAGCTCTTTTTTGGTTACTATTTTAATTGTATCTTTGTATCCCTTTACTTTCAATCTGTTTCTGTATTTAAAATGTTTATCTTGTAGATAGCACATTGGTGGATCATATTTTGTTCTTCAATCCTTTCAGCCAGTCTGCTTTTCTTTCTTTCTTTTTGAGACAGAGTTTTCCTTTTGTCACCCAGGCTGGAGCGCTATGGTGCGATCTCAGCTCACTGCAACCTCTGCCTCCTGGGTTCAAGCGATTCTCCAGCCTCAGCCTCCTGAGTAGCTGGGATTACAGGTGCGTGCCACCAGGCCTGACTAATTTTTGTATTTTTAGTAGAGACAGGGGTTTCTTCATGTCGGTCAGGCTGGTCTTGAACTCCTCACCTCAGGTGATCCACCGCCTCAGCCTCCCAAAGTGCAGGCATTACACGCGTAAACCACTGCGCCCGGCCAAAGTGGTGGATTTTTTTTCTCAGAAAATCTATTCCATTCTTTTTCCAGAAACCAAATTTGTACAAGTTAACTAAAATAAATATTTATACTCTAATTTTTTTGTTCTGAGGTCTGAGTTTTTAGAATTTTATCTTTACATGTTTAGAAAAATTAGAAAATATAGATAGAACATAACCAAGAAAATAATAACAACTTTCCTTCTGTTCAAAGTTCATTACTATTAGCCGAGTGCAGTGACTCACACCTGTAATCCTAGCACTTTGGGAGACTGAGGCGGGCGGATCACTTGAGCCCAGGAGTTCGAGACCAGCCTGGGCAACATGGCAAAATCCCGTCTACAAAAACTACAAAAATTAGCCAGGTGTGGTTCCATGTGCCTGCAGTCCCAGCTAGTGGCAAGGCTGAGGTGGAGAACCACCTGAACCCGGTAAGTCAAGGCTGCAGTGGTGCAGCCTCTGTCCCCCAGGCTGGAGTGCAGTGGTGCAATGTCGGCTCACTGCAACCTCCGCCTCCCGGGTTCAAGCGATTCTCCTGCCTCGGCCTCCCGAGTAGCTGGGATTACAGTCACGTGCCACCACACCTGGCTAATCTTTGTATTTTCAGTAGAGAAGGGGTCTCATCATGTTGGCCAGGCTGGTTTTGAACTCCTGACCTCAAATGATCCACCTGCTCTGGCCTCCCAAAGTGCTGGGATTACAGGCCTGAGCCACCACGCCCGGCCGTTATTTTTCTTTCTTAGAGGCAGGATCTCACTCTGTCGCCCAGGCTGGAGTGCAGTGGCACGATCTAAGCTCACTGTAGCATTGATCTCCCAGGCTCAGGCGATTCTCCTGTCTCAGCCTCCCGAGCAGCTGGGATCACAGGTGTGTGCCACCACACCTGACTAATTGTTAAATTTTTTTATTTTTATTTTTTAGAGATGGGGTCTTGCTATGTTGCCCAGTCTGGCAACATGGGATCCTCCAACTCCTGGCTTCGAGGGATCCTCCCGCTTCGGCCTCCCAAAGCGCTGAGAATTACATACGTGAGCCACCACGCCCGGCCTATATTGTTTTATAGTTCTTCAATTTTGTTTTGTGGTCGCTGGAGGTGTTTCCTTCTTCGATTCCCTGCACAGTGCTTCCACAGCTGCTCCATGGAATCTGCCCAAGACTTTTGCTGCGTTCAGTTGAACACACAGGAGGAAGCTCTTCAGGCCCCAGCCAGCCGACCGCACAAAGATGCGTTCTCATACCCAGGGGAGCTGGTCTCGCCACTCGACCCGCGCCCTGGATAGCTATAGTTAGTGTGAGCGCCACCACCCGCCGCGGCGCTCCGGGCCAAGCAGTCTCCCGTGGGAGTGCGGGAGTGCGTGCGTGCGGCGGAAATCCCGCCTTCCGGCGCCCGCTGTTGGCCTTGGCCGCAGCCAGGGCGCTCCAAGTAGGAAGATAAGCGGGATTGCTGGAAGCGGGAGAGTCGGGAGGAGCGGCGAAGGGCTCCTCTTCCCCATTGGCTGCGCCCACGGAGCAGCCTCGTTGCGATTGGCCGTACGCGGGGGGCGGCAGTCCCGCGTCGGCCCGCCCCTCGGGCCGCGAGAGGCGCCGGGATCGCGGGCGCCGGCTGAGCCAGCGGCTCTTGGGAGGCTGCGTCCGCGCGCCGGCGGGGCGGGGCGGCCGGGCCCTGCGCGTCAGGTCCTGGCCTGGGGCACCTGGGCGGCCGGTGGCGGGGGCGGTACGGGCGCGGGGCTGGCGGGCGGCCGAGCCCGGGAGGCGGGCGTGGGCGCGGCGGCCGCACCGGGGCCTGCGCGGACCACCCGCGGGGCAGCCTCGGGCCTCTCTCCATCTCTTAAGTGGTGGTGGCTGTGGGTTTTTCTGCAGGCGATCCTTTTGAGTAATTTGTTTCACGCACGCGCCCTGCTGTGGGGTAAAGCGGCAGATTCATGCTGCTGTCATTTGTCGTTAAAACGATGGGCTCCCTGTTATGTGTGTGTACTTCTTGGATTTGAGGGCAGGGGGATGACATTGTAACTTGGCTTCCTGTGACCGTCCATTCTCAAGGTCTCGTCAGCGTGGTGCAGAAACTCGGCACACCCTGCCTACCTTGGAAGGAGGCTTTCCCTTCCCCACCTCCCTCTCTCTCCATCTCTTCCCTCTTTCCCTCTCTCCCCTTCTCTCCCCTCCACCAGCTCTTCTCTCCCCCCTTTCTGTTCTCTCTCTCTTTTTTCTTTTCTGCATTGAACCTTTCGGGAGTGTCTTTGTAAACTATTAAAAAGCATTAGGTCTTCAGCGTATGTGTTTACTTGCAGGCCTGAGACCTGGGAGGAAGCTGGAGAAAAGATGCCCTCTGAATCTTTGTGTTTGGCTGCCCAGGCTCGCCTCGACTCCAAATGGTTGAAAACAGATATACAGGTGGGGTTTGACATGTCTTTTTCTTGGTGTGTTTCTGCTTCCATGTTTAAATTTCCCGTGTAAGGCTTTTTTTTAGGGTATGTAAGGGGAAGTCAGTTGTATCTTGCTGAATTAGAGGAGCAGGTTTATTTCCTGTAACTTAAAATGTAACAGTCTTATGGCTGTTTTTGTAGATCGTGCGCGGCTGCCTTTTAATTAGTTTCTTGCAAGTGCACGAAACTTGAGATCTATTAATAGAGAAAATTTTTTTCCTATTTATTATTACTGGTTAAGAAATCTGCCACACTCCTAACCATATCATGGTGACTGTTGTTTGTTACTGATCGTTTTTGAGCTGTTGAGTTAACTGTGGAGGGGAAAATTGGAGAAGTAAGTTGCAGTAATTATGGCCTATAGAAACTCACTCATTTTATGAGGTCTTGTGTTTGTGTTTCTGGAGAGACAAGAGTTAGTTCAGTTGAGCTGTTTGTTTTGTCTTTGTAACTCCTTATTAAGAGGAGTGCTCAGATTTTCACATCAAGAATATGAGGAAACAATGTTGGCCTTAGATCCTAATTTTTTGATTTAATGAGATAATTGCAAGCTTGTCAGGACATTATTAAATAAATAATAACGGTAATATTTCGATAGACAGTTCTTTACACCCAATCTACTTTTATTTGGAAATGGCTTGGAAAAACTACTTTTGGAACTCCTTATCAGCAGCAAAAAGAAGTGTTTGAAATATTTTGTGTGTGTCTGTATTTTCCTACTCCCTAAGGTTAACCATTTTAAGTATTAAGTAATGTGCCTTGACTGTTCATCAAAAGTCGTGTAGGCTGTTAAGCAGTAGTTGATCATGGATACTTACACTGAAGTGTTATTGCCCCTTCCTAATTTTTTTTTTCTTTTTAAACAGGTATTGAGTGTTGGTAGATATGAGAGTCCAGTGTTTAGAGCTGTGTTGTGTGGCTGGGCGCAGTGGCTCACGCCTGTAATCCCGGCAGTTTGGGAGGCCGAGGCGGGTGGATGCCCTGAGGTCAGGAGTTGGAGACCAGCCTGACCAACATGGTGAAACCCCGTCTCTACTAAAAATACAAAATGAGCCAGGCGTGGTGGTGTATGCCTGTAATCCCAGCCACTCGGGAGGCTGAGGCAGGAGAATCGCTTGAACCCGGGAGGTGGAGGTTGCAGTGGGTCAAGATTGTGCCGTTGCACTCCAGCCTGGACAATGAGAGCTTTTTTTTCAAAAAAAAAAAAAAAAAGCTGTTGTGGATGATGGGATTGTTATTCATAGTGTAATGTTACATAAGACAGAGTACAGAGAATTGGGTCAAGAATTGGTGTAGTTACTCTTTGGGTTTGTTTCTCTTTAAACATTTCCTTTGATTTAGCTATAATGATCTGTTTTGTCATTTTAAGTGGATGGGAGACGTGAGAGATGAGTACTTTCATATTTCTGAAATCCTGAGATTCAGGCAAAGTTTTAATAGTTGTTTTTATATTAGTGTTTATGTATTTTGAGAAACTTTTTGGAGTAAAGGACTTTACGTAATGAAGTTTTTTTCTTAATAATTGTAATTTAATAACTGCTAAACATGAGTTCTAGTGTCTTGATCTAAAACCAGTTTAATGCTGAATTGAGTTCCTATGATGGGTTGGGCAGATAAACATACAGTGAAGCACCATTTATATCTTAGAGGGCCTGTTGTTTTGATTTATTAAGTTTAATACACAGTACTTGGTCCTTGTTACACATTTCCAATATGATTAGAAAGTCTTTTTTTTTTTTTTTTTTTTTTTTGAGACGCAGTCTTGCTCTGTCGCCCAGGCTGGCGTGCAGTGGCGCAATCTTGGCTCACTGCAACTTCCGCCTCCCGAATGCAAGTGATTCTCCTACCTCAGCCTTCCGAGTAGCTGGGATTACAAGTGTGTGCCACCATGCATGCCCGACTAATTTTTGTATTTTTAGTAGAGATGGGGTTTCACTGTGTTGGCCTGGCTGGTCTCCTGACCTCAAAGCGATCTGCCTGCCTCGGCCTCCCAAATTGCTGGGATTACAGGCGTGAGCCACTGCACCTGGCCAAAAAAAAAAGTCATCTAAATTCCTCCTAGGAGTAAGGGAAATGACTAGGTTTTGGATAGTGTGCACCAGAGGAAAAATGTGTTACAGGTCTAAGTAGCATGAAAAAAGTGATTGCTAAGTTTTGTTTTATGTTCCACCAGCATTGGTTGTTAAACACAAGGAATGAATGGTGGTGTTTTACCGTAAGGAATAAGACATGGTTTCCCTCTTTGGGGAGCTTCCCTGCAGACAGGAATTGCAGATGGAAGCCTTGTGCTCACAGGTTTTACCCTTATCTTGTTGAGGATGGCTCTCCCAGCTGGAGTGGGAAGCGCTTCACTGCTTGAGACTTTTGTATTGGAAACAGAATTGACACCTGGGTAATGAATAATACATGGGATAGGAAGATGTTTCTTAGCCATAGGATTTAACCGATCTGTTTTCCACAGCTGTTTTTGTTTGAAATGCCCTTAAAAGTTTTAGTAACTTTAGAAAGGAAGAGTTTTTGGAGTGTGAAAACTTATAATGCTTGTGTGTTATAGAGAGCACTTATTGACTTCTTTATCATAGACATTATTTGGATACGTCAGGCCTAGGACCCTACATCCAGCAACCTCTAATGCAGGGCTCATTTTATGCCAGGCATATATATCTGGTTATTACATATAAACAGTTTAATTGTTCAACACTTTTTTTTTTTTTTTTTGAGACGGAGTCTCACTCTGTCTCCCAGGCTGGAGTGCAGTGGTGCCATCTTGGCTCACTGCAAGCCTCCTGGGTTCATGCCATTCTCCTGCCTCAGCCTCCCGAGTAGCTGGGACTACAGGTGTCCACCACCACGCCTGGCTAATTTTGTGTACTTTTAGTAGAGACAGGGTTCCACCATGTGGGCCAGGCTGGTTTTGAACTCCTGACCTCAAGTGATCCACCCGCCTCGGCCTCCCAAAGTGCTGGGATTACAGGCGTGAGCCACCGCGCCCGGCCTGTTCAACACTCTTTTCTGCTTGATGTGTGGAGTGATTGAATCACCATGTTTTCCTTCACTGCTCTCGTGAAGAGTAATACATTACAGAGGTAAGAGGTGTCAGTCACATCACTTTTTATTTTTACCGTGAAAGTACTTCTAATCTGATGTGATTGGTAGTTTTTTAGCAAACCAAAAAGTCAGTTAAGCAAAGGAATCATAAAAACCAATATATGAGACCTTAAAAGCTTTTTATTCTTAAAACACATGCCTGTTCGCCAGTTTTGTTGTAAGGTAAAGGTGCATGTCTTTGAGCATAGGTCCAGAATGGAGTTATCCTGCCCCTTCTTGCATAAGCTGCACTCAGATGAATTTCCTACAGTTTCTATTTTTGGGTTCTTTTTTAAGTGGCACATGAAACTAGATATGCATGAAGCAATTTTTAAAAAAACTTTTTATTTTGAAATAATAATAGACTCTCAGGAAGTTGTAAAGAAACTAGAGAGGTCATTGTATATTTGCGCATACTGCCCCAGTGGTTACATTTTATGTAACCATAATAGAGTATAAAAACCCAGAAATTGAAGTTGGTACAATGTGTGTGCGTAGTTCTGTGCCATTCTATCAAGTGTCTGTAAATATAACTACTACTACAATTTCCTATGCAGAACTGTTTCATCACCAGAAAGATCTCTCTCCTGCCTCTCTTCTGCCACCATCTCTAACTCCTGCCAACCACTGATCTGTTCTCCATCTCTATAATTTTGTTACTGTGAGATTACCAAGTGATATGTGACCTTCGGAAATGATTTTCTTTACTCAGCATAATGCCCTCAGGTCCGTCAAGGTTTGTTGAGTATATCAGTAGCTAAACTGGGACCATTTATTTGTCTCTTCATCTAATCATCAATTAAAAATGACCACGCATAAATGTAAGCTTTTACAGTTAAACTTATTGTATATAAATATTGTCACTTCGGCTGGGCGCGGTGGCTCACGCCTGTAATCACAGCACTTTGGGAGGCCGAGGAGGGCGGATCACTTGAGGTCAGGAGTTCAAAACCAACCTGGCCCCCATGGTGAAACCCTGTCTCTACTAAAAATACAAATGAGCCAGGTGTGGTGGTGTGCGCTTGTAATCCCAGCTACTTGGGAGGTTGAGGCAGGAGAACTGCTTGAACCCAGAAGGTGGAGGTTGCAGTGAGCCGAGATCATGCCATTGCACTCCAGCCTGGCCAACACAGCAAGACTCCTTCTCAAAAAAAAAAAAATGTCACTTCATGCTTAGAAATATCAGTAGATGGCCGGGTGTGGTGGCTTAGCCTGTAATCCTAACAGTTTGGGAGGCTGAGGTCAGGAGATCGAGGTCATCCTGGCCAACATGGTGAAACCCCATCTCTACTAAAAATACAAAAATTAGCTGGGTGTGGTGGCACGTGCCTGTAGTCCCAGCTACTTAGGAGGCTGAGGCAGGAGAATCGCTTGAACCCAGGTGGCGGAGGTTGTAGTGAGCTGAGATCGCGCCACTGCACTACAGCCTGGTGAGAGAGCGAGAATCTGTCTCAAAAAAAATAAAAAAGGGCAGTAGATAAAAAAAGTACAAACATGAGTATCTTGATAAATTCTATTCTCAGGCTTTCAGGTTCATAATCCTGTTGATAGATGACATGTAGAAATAGAAGAATTTGTAAATATAGGAATATTCATTGATGTTTTTAGGACTGGATTCTAAGGGTGGTTTTTACCTCTAATATCCAAATACTGCTGCCTCAAGAGAACAATTTTTGTTTTCAAAATTCCATGATAAAAAAGATGCAGTAACCCTGTATGTGGCATTTTGTCAGGTTAATTAAGAGCATTTTGCAGCAAAAAAAAAAGTTTTTTGTAGAGGCAGGGTCTTGCTTTGTTGTCCAGGCTGGTCTAGAACTTCTGCATTCAAGTGATCCTCCTGCCTTGGCCTCCCAAAGTGCTGTGATTAGATGTGTGAGCCACTGTGCCTGGCCTGGTGTTTTAAAGAACTAACTTTTAACTTTGGTTCTTGGAAAAGACTAGCAATACTTGTTATAAAAAAAAGGAAAAGGGTTTAGCCGTAGGACTTTGATGACAATTCCTTTTTTTTTTTTTTTTTTTTGAGACAGAGTCTCACTCTGTTGCCCAGGTTGGAGTACAGTGGCACTATCTCAGCTCACTGCAACCTCCACCTCCCAGGTTCAAGCCATTCTCGTGCCTCAGCCTCCTAAGTGGCTGGAATTCCAAGTGTGCACCACCACACCCAGATAATTTTTTATATTTTTAGTAGAGATGGGGTTTCACCATGTTGCCCAGGCTGGTCTTGAACTCCTGAGCTCAGGCAGTCCACCTGCCTTGGCCTCCCAGAGTGGTGGGATTACAGCAGTGAGCCACTGAGCCCAGCAGATGACAATTCTTTATGAAGAAGAAATTGAGTATCCTGTTTAAGGCACTCAAGAAAAGAAAATGTGAGTAAAGCATTTTTTGTTCCAGCAAAACCGACTTTTCAGATGAAAAACACACAAACTTCTCAGTGAGCTGTAACTTAGGAAGTATTGTTCTCATGAGCCCTTCCTTAGGAATGGAGTGGAGAAAGATCTTTAGACAACTGGATGACTGTAGATCAACCTGCAACTGATGATGGGCATGAAACAGTTATTTTTTAAACCTAGACTGCATGAGTGTTAAGGGAGAGAGCATGGCATAGCCATGTGCTTAGACATTGTAGATTATGGTTGTAACTGTTATGCAGTTCTGTTAATCTCATCCATCCATTTTGTATTTTCATTTCTAGAGATTCCATTTGAGTCCTTTTTATATCTTCTGTTTCACTCCTTATAACATTCATGCTTTCCTTCTATTAGTATAGGGAGCATTTCTGTAAGAGAGCTTTTAATGTCCTTGTCTGTGAATTCTGTAATCTCTGATCACTTCTAGATCCATCTCTGTTGATTGATTCTGTCATTTCTATTGATTGATTGCCCTAGTTATGGGGGCATGGTTGTATGCCTGCTAATTTTTGATTGAATGCTAGGCATTAATTTTATCTTCTGTGCAGGATTTTATTTTTTTAAAGAGCCTTAGTTTTCTTCTGCCATACATGTAAGTTACATGGGGTCAGTTTGATCTTTTCAAAGCTTGATTCTGAGGTTTGTTAGGCTGATCCACACAGGCTTTACTCTTGGGCTCATTTATCCATACAACGAAGGCAATACTGTTCTCAGGACTCCACCTGATGCTTGGTGTATGAGAAGATCTTTCTGTCCTTGTTTGTGGAAACACAGGCTTTTCCCAGACTGTGCATCATGGCAATGCTCCTTATTACTTTCTAGTGCTGCTTTCCCCAGTATTCCATAGTTTTCTTAACCTATGCTCAGAGTAGTACTCAGACAGATACTCAAGGGGCCCCTCCACTCATCTCTGGAGCTTGCTGTATTCTTGTCATTTGGCCTACGTATAGCTGATCTGTCTCCTGAGCTCAGCAAGTTCTTTGGGCTCTATTTGGGTTCCCCTTTCCTGTGCTGCAGCCTGGAAGCTGCTTCTGGGCAGTGTTTCCCTTCTCTCAGGGATCCCAGCTCTGGGCTGTCTGTTGTCCAGTTTTTGGTAACAGCTTTTCGGTATATTCTGTCTGGTTTTCTAGTTGATTATAGCAAGGAAGTGATTTCTACAGAATTCATCCTTTATAGGTGGAGGAAGCACAGGCCTTCCCAATCTGTTTTTAATCAAATCCATTGAGTTTTAAATTTTACTATTATATTTTTCTATTCCAGAATTTCCATTTTTTAAACATATCAACTTTATTGAGGTATAATTATATTAAACACATCCCTTTAAAATGTTTAGTTTGAAATGTTTGACAGTTTCTTTAACTGCCACTTTAGGTACTTTTTTCTAGTTTCAACTTCTGTGTTGAAATTGTTAATGTGATCTTTTTTTTTTTTTTTTTTTTTTGACAAGGAGTCTCGCTCTGTCGCTCAGGCTGTAGTGCAGTGGCACAATCTCGGCTCACTGCAACCTGCATCTCCTGGGTTCAAGTGATTCTCCTGCCTCAGCCTCCCAAGTAGCTGGGACTGCAGGTGCCCGCCACCACACCTGGCTAATTTTTGTATTTTTAATAGAGACGGGGTTTCACCAGATTGGCCAGGCTGGTCTTGAACTCGTGACCTCGTGATCCGCCTGCCTTGGCCTCCCAAAGTGCTGGGATTACAAGCATGAACCGTGCCCGGCTGTTAATAGGATCTTTTAATTGCTTGACTCTATTAAAGGTAGTTATTTTAAAAGTGTGTTTATAAACCTTGTCCGACCCCATAGATTCCTTAGCCGCCTCTCTCTGTCCCTCTTGGCTGACTCATGCCTGTGAGCCGCCCTTCAGCTCCAGTCTCCGCTGTGATGTCACGCAAGAGAGTTGGAATATGGCTTCCTGACTGCCTACCAAGGAGCCAGTGACACAGCCTGGAAGGTGTGGCGAGTGTGTGTGGGTGTGAATTCCTTGTGGTATGAACGTTCACCACTTTACAAGGAGAGATGAGGGAACTCAGTGTTTTTATTCCTCCCTTTTTTCTTTCCTCTTTGGACTATTTTATGGTGTAGTTTCTTCTTGCAAACCTTCTGGAAAAGCCACATATGCCTAGTGAATGTGCTGGCTGAACAGTTGGTTGTATTTGCAGCTCATTGAGAAGAGGTGGCACTAACATAGGGGTCAGCACATTTTTTCTGTAAAGCACCAGATAGTAAATGTTTATGTGGGCCGTACGTGCTCTTTTAGAACAGCTCACCTTGGCCATTGTCCTGCGAGAAGCTGCCAAACATGTGTATGGCTATATTCCAGGAAAACTTTGTGGATACCAGAATTTGAATGTCATATAATTTTCATTTGTTGACATATGATTTTTTTTTTTTTTTTTTTTTTCTGAGAGGGAGTCTTGCTCTGTTGCCCAGGCTGGAGTGCAGTGGCGCGATCTTGGCTCACTGCAACCTCCACCTCCTGGGTTTAAGCAATTGTTCTGCCTCAGACTCTGGAGTAGCTGGGATTACAGGCGTGTACCATCATGCCTCACTAATTTTTTTTTTTGTATTTTTAGTAGAGATGGGGTTTCATCATGTTGGCCAGGCTGGTCGTGAACTCCTTACCTCGTGATCCGCCTGCCTTGGCCTCCCAAAGTCTGAGATGACAGGTGTGAGCCACCGTGCTTGGCTGACATATGATTCTTTTGATTATGTGGCAACCATTGAAAAATATAAAATCACTCTTTTTTAATATATATTTTTCTTTTTTTAGGAAATTAAAGGAAATAAGAATGGCTCCTACATAGGCAGAGTAGGCTAAAATCACACTTAGCTGACTGTGAAGTCATATACTGCATATCGTTACTTCATTGATCTCCTTGTCTCGCTTTCCCACTTCCCTCACCCCATTGCCCCGAGCTGACATCTGCTGAGCAGAGTGTCAACACTTCAGTTCATTCCTCAGGCTCTTCTTTCATGACAGAAGTCTTTATGTTTCTGTTTTCAGGATCTACTCGGTCTGTTCTAATGACTTCTATTTTTTTTTCATTTTTCAATGATGTGGTCTTGTATCTTTGTCATTATTATATTTGCTTGACTTTCAGATATTGTATATGCAATATTGTAGCAATAAATCGAGGCTCTAGGTAACAATATCTTCCTCCAGAGAGGATGTTCTAGGCAATCTCAGGTCACTGCAGTCCCTTTGGAAATTGAGAGAATGCGAAACTGGGCTGGTTTTCCGTGAAGGCTGGTCTACTTCTAACTCACCTGTATTTCTGGTGTGTGGCCCTTTGAGGTTCCAGCTCAGAGCATGGGATCTGCCAGGCCTCTTTCTCCTGTATGAGGGCCCTGGGAGTCTCTCAGAAGCTCCGTTTTGCTTCTCAGTCTCATCCCTGCGTGCTTAGGTTCTCTGGGCCTCTTTCCTCCTCTCGTGGGTCTTAGACTTTAGGAAGACCTCACTCCCTTGCTGCTTCTAGGATGTCTTCAAATCGACGTACTTAATGTTCCTGTCTGACCTTTCTAATTGTTCTAGGAACCTGTTCTTAACATTTTTTCATATGTTGTCCTACGTTCAGTAGGTGTTTAGTATTTTTCTGTAGGTTTAAGAAAAAAAGCCGTATACCTTTACTCATCTGCAAATATTTGAAGATTACTTTTCTGTCAAATTGTAAGGACATGAAAAAGAAACATTTTCTAACCTATACATTAATCAGATATTCATTTGTTATATTATTCAGTTTTGGATTTTATTGCCTGACTCTATAGTTCTGAAGTCACTTTAATAAATGCCTTAACGGGCTGGGTGCGGTGGCTCCCGCCTGTAATCCCAGGCCGAGGCGGGTGGATCACAAGGTCAGGAGATCGAGACCATCCAGGCTAACACGGTGAAACCCTGTCTCTACTAAAAATACACAAAAAATTAGCCGGGTGTGGTGGCGTGCGCCTGTAGTCCCAGCTACTCGGGAGGCTGAGGCAGGAGAATGGCATGAACCCGGGGAGCCAAGATGGCGCCACTGCACTCCAGCCTGGGCGACAGAGCAAGACTCTGTCTCAAAAAAAAAAAAAAAAAAAAAAAAAAAAAAGCCTTAACTGTTTGCTTGCCTAGTCCTGATTGGTATTAAAATATTGGTGGCCTATGTATGGGAGCGTGAAGGCTTGCCCTGGCTGCCGTGCTGCAGGTGTGGGTGCATGTTATGGTGTTGGTGGGAAGCGAATAAGCCTTGGAGTTGGGCCTCTTCCCAAATCCCGCCTCTCACAGCCTCAGTGTTGTGTGGCCTTTGGTCAAGTCATTGGCCTTCTGAGCTTCAGTTTAGTAACTTACAAAAAGTGAGCCTGTTACTGCCTCTTTTGCTGGGGTCTTTTGATGATGAAAGTGCCTTTACTTGCCATGTCATTTCAGAGGTGTAAGATAGGAATGTGAGATTGGAAAAGATTGGAAAAGAGTTCTTAGCCCAAATAACCTAATTAGAAGCTTCTGGGATCTGAACCAAAAAAGTCAAAAGTTGAAAAGCTACTGGGCACGTTTAGGTAAGTCAGCTACTAATAAAAAGCTAATTGGAGACAGTTGTAGAAATAAATACTCTCACTTTACAAATGGAAAGTCCCATTCATTTTTTTCTTTTTCTTTCTTTTTTTTTTTTTTTTAAATGAATAGGGCCTCTGTCACCCAGGTTGGAATGCTGTGGTGTGATCAGAGCTTACTGTAACCTCAAACTCCTGGGTGCAGGTGACCGTCCTGCTGTAGCCTCCTGAGTAGCTGGGATTACAGGCACGTGCCATGCACTTGGGTAATTTTTACATTTCTGTAGAGACACGGTCTTACCATGTTGCCCAGGCTGATCTTGAACTCTTGGCCTCAAGCAGTTCTTCTGTCTTGGCCTCCCAAAGCTCTGGGATTACGGCGTGGGCCACCATGCCCTGCCTGTAGTCTCCATTCTTCTCAGTGCCACGGCTGTCTTCCAGTTGTTCCCAGGCTGCTGCTTCCTCAGTCAGGATCCTGTACTGTCTGTGATCTGGAGAGCTCTTCTCCTGGGCTTCACTTTTGCTTGTTCACAGTCTAACTCTCTGGAGACCTCCTCCAGTGAGGCTTGCTTTATTGCTTTAGTAATGTTCCACCTTTAAGGTGCCCAAATAGTTTTTTGAATGGTGCTTACCATTTATTTGGGTCATCAGTTCCTAGGAGGCTTCCACAGTGCATGTCCTTCCAGGAGTCCAGTGTCTACCTTCCAAAAAAGAATTCCTTGTTACTCAGAAGGACAAGGTCTGGCCTATCCTCTTCCTTCCCAGTGCTACCCAGGTAATAATCGAAAGGTGGTGGTAATTATTCTTGTTTCCATGTAAACTGGGCTTCCTCCTTGGCTTAGTCTTTAAATGTTCCATCTTTTGGCTTTTTTTTTTTAAATGGTACCTCTGTAACACTAATGTTTCTCAATCTAGGCTGTACCGCAGAACACTGATGTGTGGAGCCCAGCCAGTCTGGGGCGATCTTAGAGTGCTTTCAGGGCTGGGCAGGGGTCTCCCCTCTCTGCTTGGGTGTTGGCATCTTCTCCAGGACATCACCTACAGTCCATTTGTTGACTACTCCCAGATTTGAGTCTCTAGCCCTGAACACTCTGCTAAGATCTGGATCTATATTTACTGAGGGTTGGTGGAGTGGGGAGGAGCTCCATGTTTATGTTCAGTAGTTAGTGCAAATCTTAGTGGTTAAAACGGAACTAATTCTCATTCCTCTTCTGTTCCCTCCCTTATTTTCCCTTTCACATTTGATTTAACTTACGTGATTTGAAATAGTTTCTTTTTTTGTTTTTTAAGTCAGGGTCTCACTCTGTTGCCCAGGCTGGAATGCAGTGGCACCGTCACGGCTCACTGCAGCCTTAACCTCCCCGGGCTCAGATGATCCTCCCACCTCAGCCCCCTGAGTAGTGGGACTACAGGTGCGTACCACCACGCCTGGTTAATTTTTGTATTTTTTGTAGAGACCGGGTTTCACCATGTTGCTCTGGCTGGTCTCGAACTCCTGGGCTCAAGCAGTCTGCCCACCTCGGCCTCCCAGACTGCTGGGATTACAAATGTGAGCCACCGTGCCCTGCCTGAAATAATCTTAAAGACTGTACTTCCCTGTGTTGACTTCTGCTGTCATCCTTTCTTTTTTGGACCCTTGGTAATAGCCTTTTTTTTTTTTTTTTTTTTTGAGATGCAGTCCCACTCTGTCACCCAGGCTGGAGTGCAGTGGTGCGATCTCCACTCACTGCAACGTCCGCCTCCCAGGTTCAAGCAATTCCCTTGCTTCAGCCTCCCGAGTAGCTGGGACTATAGGTGCGTGCCACCACATCTGGCTAATTTTTTGTATTTTTAGTAGAGATGGGTTTTCGCTGTGTTAGCCAGGATGGTCTTTATCTCCTGACTTCATGATCCACCCGCTTCGGCCTCCCAAAGTGCTGGGATTACAGGCGTCAGCCACCGTGCCTGGCCAGTAATAGCTTCTTAGTTCACCTTCTCTGTTTCTGTTTTCTGAAACACTTTAAGACATGGGTCAAATGTCATATTCCCTTGAGTGCCTAAAGATAGTCTGAAACTCCTGGAGCACGGCCCACATGGAGCTGTGAGTTCTGACCACTGTTAGCCTCTTATCATGTGCATTGTGGTAGGGTTTGGACTGAACCCCAGTGCACGTATTCACTGCTCTCCTCTGACTGAAGACTAGAAGAGTCAAAGCTTTCCATTCACTCGTTAAACTTCAGGGGCCCTGAATGTTTTTGGCTCACTTTTTAATTTTATTTTTTATATTATTTTAATTTTTTAAATTTAAATTAAAAATTTTTTTTGACAGGGTCTTGCTCTATTGCCCAGGCTGGAGTACAGTGGAGTGATCTCAACTCACTGCAGCCTCTACCTCCTGGTCTCAAGCAGTTCTCCCACCTCAGCCTCCCAAGTAGCTGGGAGTACAGGCGCGCCACCACCTCTGGCTAATTTTTTGTATTTTTGGTAGAAATGCGGTTTTGCCATGTTGTTCAGGCTGGTCTTGTACTCCTGAGCTCAAACAATTCACCTGCCGTGGCCTCCCAAGTGCTGGGATTACAGGTGTGAGCCACCATGCCCAGCTTTCTGGCTAATTTTACAATTTTTTTGTAGAGACAGGGTCTTGCTATGTTGCTTAGATTGGTTTTGAACTCCTGGGCACAAGTGATTCTCTTGCCTCAGTCTTCCAAGGTGCTGGGATTAGAGATGTGAGTCACTCTACCTGGCCAGGGCTCACTTTTTAGGAAGGAGTTTACCTCTCCCCCACCAGCTGATATTTTTACCAAAAGTCATATGTTTTGGTTCCAAGTATGTTTATGGCAGTTATCCTGTTAGTGATGTGAACAGAAAAAATAACAGTGCTGAGAGAAAGCTGTTCCTTCTACAAAAACTGAAGGATGCTGGCTTGGTTTCTGTCGCTACAGAACAAGTTACCAAACACAAATTTGGCAGCTTGTAACAACAAGCATTTACACTCTCACAGTTTCTGTGGGTCAGGAGTCTGGCCATAGCTTAGTTCTATCCTCTACTTCAGGTGTCACAGGCTGTAGTCAAGGTGTTGGCTAGGGCACGCTGTCATCTGGAGCTCAGGTCCTCATTGGTAGAATTGAATCCATTGTGGTTGTGGGACTGAAACCCTGGGCTCTTGGAGGCTGCCCCTCCCCACGGGCAGTTCATTGGCTGCTTGCTTCTTCAGATTGGAGACCATCTCTTCAGGACGGTGCAGAGGGATGGAAAAAGGGAGAGGCAAATGGAAATCACAAAAGAGCATAGCGGTTATATCAGACCAAATAGATTTCAAGACCAAAACTATAAAAGGAGACCAAAAAAGTCATTATGTAATGATAAAGGGGCCAATTCAGCAAGAGGCTATAACTATTATAAATATATGTATATATGCACTCAACACTAGAGCACCCAGATACATAAAACAAATATTACAGCTAAAGAGAGAGAGAGGCGTTAATACATTAATAGATGGAGGCTTCAACACTCCACTTCAGCATTGGACAGATCAGATCATCCAGACAAAATTAACGAAGAAACATCAAACTTAATCTGCACTGTAGACCAAATGGATTTAATAGATATTTCTAGAACATTTCATCTGATGGCTGCAGAATTTACATTGTTCTCTTTAGCACATGGATCGTCCTCAAGGTTAGACCATATGTTAGGCCACAAAATAAGTCATTAAAAATTGAAACCTTGATACTAAAAGCAGACAAAGACACGTCAAAGAAAGAATACTACAGGCCAATGTCTCTGATGAATATTGATGCAAATATCCTCAACAAAATACTAGCAAACCAAATTCAGCAATACGTTAGAAAGATCGTTCATTGTGATGAAGTGGGGTTTATCCCTGGGGTACAAGGATGGTTCAACATATGCAAATCAATCGATGTGACACATCATGTCAAGGATAAAAACCATGTGATTATTTCAGTCGATGCTGAAAAGGCATTTGATAAAATTCAACATCCTTTCATGATAAAATCTCTTAAAACTGATTATGGAAGAAACATACCTCAACATAATAAAAGCCGTATATGACAGACCCACAGCTAGTATCATACTGAATGGTGAAAAACTGAAAGTCTTTCCTCTAAGATCTGGAACATGACAAGGATGCTCAGTGTGGCCACCGTTATTCAACATAGTACTGGAAGTTCTTGCTAGAGCAATCAGACAAGAGAAAGAAATAAAAGGCCTCCACATTGGAAAGGAAGAAGTCAAATTATCCTTGTTTGCAGATGATATGATCTTATATGTGGAAAAACCTAAAGACTCCACAAGAAAATGATTAGAGCTGATAAATTCAGTACAGTTGCAGTATACGAAATCAACATACAAAAATCAGTAGCATTTCTGTGTGCCAACAGTAAACAATATGAAAAAAATTAGAAAACTAATCCCATTTATAGTAGCCACACATGAAATTAAGTACCTGGGAAGTAACCAAAGAAGATAATTACAAAGATCTCTGTAATGAAAACTCTAAAACCCTGATGAAAGACATTAAAGAGGACACAAAAGATGGAAAAATATTTCATCTTCATGGATCGGAAGAATCAATATTGTTAAAATGTCCATACTACCCAAAGCAATCTACCGATTGAGTGCAATCCCTAGCAAAATACCAATGACATTCTTCACAGAAACAGAAAAAAAAAAAATCCTAAAATTCATGTTGAACCACAAAAGACCCAGAATAGCCGAAGCTCTCGTAATTAAAAAGAAACAAACTGGAGGAATCAGATTACCTGACTTCAAATTATACTACAGAGCTATAGTAACCAAAACAGCATAGTACTAGCATAAAACAGACACAGACCAACGGAACAGAATAGAGAATCCAGAAACAAATCCGCACATCTACGGTGAACTCATTTTCGACAAAGGTACCAAGAACAAACACTGGGGAAAAGACAATCTCTTCAATAAATGGTGTTGGGAAAACTTGATATTCATATGCAGAAGAATGAAGCTAGATTCCTCTTTTGCCATATTAAAGTTAAAAAAATTATGTTAAGTATCTTCTCTGATCACAATGGACTATAACTAAAAATCAATAACGAGGAATTTTGGAAACTCCACCAACACATGGGAATTAAACAATATGCTCCTGAATGACCAACAGGTCAGTGAAGAAATTAAGAATGAAATTAAACAATTTCTTGAAGCAAATGGCAATGGCAGCACAGCATACGAAACCTGTGGGATATAGTGAAAGCAATACTAAGAGGAAAATCAAAAAAGTAGAAAAACTTCAAATAAATAACCTAATGATACATCTTAAAGAACTAGAAATGAAGGAGCTAACCAAACCCATAATTTTAAGGACAGAAATAATAAAAATTAGAGCAGAAATAAAATGGAGTTGAAATGAAGAAAATAATACAAAAGATCAATGAAATGAAAAGTTGGTTTTTCTAAAAGATAAATTGACAAGCTTTCAGGCAGGCTAAGAGAAAAAGAAGACCCAAATCAGAGGTGAAAAAGTAGGCATTACAACTGATATTGCAGAAATTCAAAGGGTCATTAGAGACTATGAACAGCTATATGTCAATAAATTGGGAAACATGGAAGAAATAGATAAGTTTGCAGGCTGGGCGTGGTGGCTCATACCTGTAATCCCAGCACCTTGGGAGGCTGAGGCGGGTGGATCGCTTGAGGTCAGGAGTTTGAGAGCAGTCTGGCCAACATGGTGAAACTCCATCTCTACTAAAAATACAAAAATTAACCAGGTGTGGTTTTGCGTGCCTGTAATTCCAGCCACTTGGAAGGCTGAGGCACGAGAGTCACTTGAGCCCTGGGAGGGGGAGGTTGCAGTGTGCTGAGATCATGTTACTGCACTCCACCCTGGGTGAAAGAGTGAGACTGTGTCTTCAAAAAAAGAAGGAAAAAGAAATGGATAATTTCACAGGCACATACAGCCTTCCAAGTTTGAACCATGAAGAAATCCAGAACCTGAACATACCAATAACAGGTAATGAGATTGAAACTGTAATAATAAAAAGTCTTCCAGCAAAGAAAAACCCCAGGACCCAGTGACTTCACTGCTGAATTTTACCAAACATTTAAAGAAGAACTATTACCAATCCTAGTGAAACTATTCTGAAAAATAGAGGAGGAGGGAATACTTCCAAACTTATTGTAGAAGGCCAATATTACCCTGATACCAAAACCAGACAAAGACATAATCAAAAAAACAAAACAGGCCAGTATCCCAGATGAACATTGATGCAGAAATACCCAACAAAATATCAGCAAACCGAATTCAACAACACATTAGAAACGTCGTTCATCATGACCAAAGTGGGGTTTATCCCAGGGATGCCAGGATGGTTCACCATATCCAAATCAATCAGTTTGATACATCATATCAATAGAATGAAGGATAAAAAACCATATGATCATTTAAATTCATGCTGAACAGGCATTTGATAAAATTCAACATCCTTTCATGATAAAAACCCCAAAAAACTGGTTATAGAAGGAACACACCTCAACGCAATAAAAGCCATATACAACTGACACACAGCTAGTATCATACTGAAAGGTGAAAAACTGAAAGCCTTTCCTCTAAGATCTGGAACAAGACACGGATGCCCACTGTCACCACTGTTATTCAATATAATAATGGAAGCCCTTGCTAGAGGAGTCAGATAAGAGAGAGAAAGGCCGGGTGCAGTGGCTCACACCTGTAATCCCAGCACTTTGGGAGGCTGAGGTGAGTGGATCACTTGAGGTCAGGAGTTTGAAGCCTGGCCAACATGGTGATACCCTATCTCTACTAAAAATATAAAAATTAGCTAGGCGTGGTGGCGGGTGTCTGTTGTCCCAGCTACTCGGGAGGCTGAGGCAGGGAAATCACTTGAACCCCAGAGGTGGAGATTGCAGTGAGCTGAGATTGTGCCGCTATATTCCAGCCTGGGCTATGGAGCAAGACTCCATCTCAGAAAAAAAAAAAAAGAAGAAGAAATAAAGGGCATCCAAATTGGAAATGAAGATGCCAAGTTACTCTTGTTTGCAGATGATTGTTATATTTGGAAAAACCTAAAAACTCCACCAAAAAATGATTAGAACTGATAAATTCAGTAAAATTGCAGGATACTAAATTAACATACAAAAATCAGTAGCATTTCTCTCTCTCTCTCTTTTTTTTTTTTTTTTTTTTTTTTTTTTTTTTTTTTTTGAGATGGAGTCTCACTCTGTGGCCCAGGCTGGAAAGCAATGGCACAATCTCGGCTCACTGCAACCTCTGCCTCCTGGGTTCAAGCGATCCGCCTGTGTTAGCCGCCTGAGTAGCTGGGATTACAGGCGCCTGCCACCAGGCCTGGCTAATTTTTGTATTTTTAGTAGAGACAGGGTTTCACCACATTGGCCAGGCTGGTCTCGAACTCCTGACCTCAGGTGATCCGCCTGCCTCGGCCTCCCAAAGTGCTGGGATTACAGGTATGAGCCACTTTGCCCAGCCAAATCAGTAGCATTTCTATATGTCAACAGTGAACAATATGAAAAATAAATCAAGAAAAATAATTCCATTTATAATAGCTACAAATAAAGTAAAATACGTAGGAATAAACCTAACCCAAGAAGTGAAAAGATCTCTACCACGAAAACTGTAAAACATTGATGCAGAAAATTGAAGAAGACACACAGAAAAGGAAAAGATACTCTGTGTTCATGGATTGGAAGAATCAATACTGTTAAAATGTCTGTACTACCCAAAGCAATCTACAGGTTCAATGTAATCCTTATCAAAATACCAATGACATTCTTCACAGAAATAGAAAAAAAAATCCTGAAATTTGTATGGAATCACAAGAGACAGAATAGCCAAAGCCATCCTGAGCAAAAAACAAAACTGGAGAAATTGCATTACCTGACTTAAAATTATACTACAGTCACTTCCTGGTCTTTTTTGGCTTAGATCAAGTGCAAAGTTTACTAGAAAGGTATACCAAAACAGCATGGTACTGGTATAAAAACAGACACCTAGACCAATGGAACAGAATAGAGAACCCAGAAACAGATCTATACATCTACAGTGAACTCACCTTTGACAGAGGTGCCCGGAGGATACATGAGGGAAAGGATAGCCTCATTGATAAATGGTGCTGGGAAAATGGGGCACCCATATGCAGAAAAATGAAACTAGACCACTATCTCTCACCATATACGAAAATCACATCAAAATGGAGTAAAGACTTAAACCTAAGACTTCAGACTATGAAAGTGCTAAAAGAAAACATTGGGGAGACTCTCCAGGACATTGCACTGGGTAATGATTTCTTGAGTAATAGTTCGTAAACACAGGCAACCAAAGCTAAAATGGACAAGTGGGATCACATTGAGTTAAAAAGCTGCACAGCAAAGGAAACAATCAACAAAATGAAGAGACAACCCACAGAATGGGAGAAAATATTTGCAAACTACCCATCTGACAAAGGATTAATAACCAGAATATATAATTAGCTTAAGCAACTCTATAGGAAAAAAATCTAATAATCCAATAAGAATGGGCAAAAGATTTGAATAGACATTTCTCAAAAGAAGATATACAAATGACAAACAGGCAATACGAACAGGTGCTCAACATGGTTGGTCATCAGAGACATGCAAATCAAAACTATAATGAGATATTATCTCACCCTAATTAAAATGGCTTATATCCAAAAGACAAGAACAAATGCTGGCAAGAATATAGAGAAAAGGGAACCCTTGTGCACTGTTGGTGGGAATGTAAATTAGCACAGCCATTATGGAGATTAGCTTGGAGGTTCCTCAAAAAACTAAAAATAGGACTATCATATGATTCAGCAATCCCACTGGTAGGTATATACCCAGAGGAAAGAATATCAGTATGTTGAAGAAATATGTACACTCTCATGTTTATTGCAGCACTATTCTCAATAGCCAAGATTTGGAAGCAACCTAAGTGTTCCCAGCAGATGAATGGATGAAGAAAATGTGGTATATATACTCAACGGAGTACTATTCAACCATGAAAAAGAATGGGATACTGCCGTTTGCAACAACATGGATAGAACTGGAGGTCGTTATGTTAAGTCAGGAACAGAATGTCATGAGCCAGACCCAGAAAATCGAACTTTGCATGTTCTCACTTATTTGTAGGTGCTAAGCAAATGAAAGTAATTGAACTCATGGAGATAGAGTAGAATGATGGTTATCAGAGACTGGGAAGGATAAAGTGGGGGTGAAGTGCGGATGGTTAATGGGTATAAAAATGGAGTTAGATAGGGCTGGGCACAGTGGCTTACGCCTGTAATCCCAGCTCTTTGGGAGGCCAAGGCAGGTGGATCATGAGGTCAAGAGACCCAGACCATCCTGGCCAACACGGTGAAACCCCATCTCTACCAAAAATACAAAAATTAGCTGGGTGTGGTGGTGTGAGCCTGTAGTCCCAGCTACTCGGGAGGCTGAGGCAGGAGAAACCCTTGAACCCAGAAGGCAAAGGTTGCAGTGAGCTGAGATCGCACAACTGCACTCCAGCTTAGTGCCAGAACGAGATCCGTCTCCAAAAAAAAAAAGAGTTAGATAGAATATATAACCCATATATATATACATACAACTAGTGTGTATCCACAGAAGTTAAAAAAAAAAAAAGATGGGCAAACATCTGTCTCTTTTAATTAAAAATGGCTTTTGTTTTGCCAGACAAGGGAGCTTCTGTCACATACGCAGTTTTCAGAATGGATGCCTTCCCCCAGTGTCTGAAATGCTCCCTTTTCCTGTTCTGGGAAGCCTTTTCTGACTCACAAATGTTGACAAGCAAAGGCGTTTTTGATTTTGATGCTCACAGTTATTATAATTATTATAAATTTGGCCAGGAGTCCCTATCGTCTTTGAACAGCTGCTTTTTTTTTTTTTTTTTTTTTTTTTTTTGAGATAAAGTCTTGCTCTGTCACCCAGGCTGGAGTGCAGTGGCACAGTCTTGGCCCACTGTAACCTCCGCCTCCTGGGTTCAGGCTATTCTCCTGCCTCAGCCTCCCAAGTAGCTGGGATTATGGGCGCCTGCCACCATGCCCAGCTAATTTTTGTATTTTTAGAAGAGATGGGGTTTCGGCATGTTGGCTAGGCTGGTCTCGAACTCCTGACCTCAAGTGATCTGCCCGCCTCAGCCTCCCAAAATGCTAGGATTATAGGCGTGAGCCACCGCACCTGGCCATGTTTGAGGAAACAGCTTTTTCTTTGAGGAAACAGGCTCATCTTTGTCTGCCCTGGCCCTTGAATCTACTTATTTTCCCAAGAGCCCTAGCGTCTTTTATCGGGAAATGGTTCTAAGAGACCAAAATCTGGGTGCCGCTGTCAGATTGCCTTTGATTCTAGTCCTTTAAAAAACAGAGTAAGCAAATATATTCAAAAATAAAGTTCATAGATTTCCAATTTAAGTTGTTTTTCAAAATTTCTTTGATTTTTTTTCCTCCTTTCCACTGAAAACCTTAATTTTTTTTTTTTTTTTTTTTTTTTTTTTTTTTTTTTTTTTTTTTTTGAGATGGAGTCTCGTTCTGTTTACCCAGGCTGGAGCACAGTGACATAATCTCGGCTCACTGAAACCTCTGCCTCCTGGGTTCATGCTAGTCTTCTGCTTCAGCCTCCCGAGTGACTGGGATTACAGGCATGCACCAGCACACCCGGCTAATTTTTCATATTTTTAGTAGAGATGGGGTTTCACCATGTTGGCCAGGCTGGTCATGAACTCCTGATCTCAAGTGATTTACCTGCCTTGGCCTGCCAAATGCTGGGATTACGGGTGTGAGCCACCATGGCCGGCCTAAAACCTTAATTTCTAAGAACATTTAATACTTTATCATAAACATGTTTTATTGTATTTACACTGCTTTATTGTGCAACATGAAGTAGTTCTAAAATTGTGAGAGTGTTATCAATACCGATAAATATTTTATTTTTCATTATAGTATATTCTATTAATGATATGTAGTTCAAAAGTCCCTTGACATACTTTTCTTTGTATATGCATGGGTTAATTTGCTTGTTGCCAGTTGTAGGTTTTGCTTTTTTATGATTTAATTTTAATTTTTGAGGATGAAAGTCATGTATGTTTCAGAAGTAAAGACATCTAAAGTATACTCACAATGTTGTTGCTTTTTCTGGTCCTGCTGCCTTTGTCCATGTCCCCTCCCCATTTCCCCGTAGGTAGTCATTGGTACTTGCTTTCGGTTTATCTTTTCAGAGCATATGCACGTGTGTGTGTTTGTGTGTGTGTCTTTTTTTTCTTTTTTCTTTTTTTTTTTTTTCTTTTTTTTTTTTTTTTAACACCGAGTCTCGCTCTTATCAACTCAGGCTGAGTGCTGTGGCGCGATCTTGGCTCACTGCAACCTCTGCCTCCTGGGTTCAAGCAATTCTCTTGCCTCGGCTTCGTGAGTAGCTGGGATTATAGGCGCCCGCCACCACGCCTGGCTAATTTTTTGTATTTTTAGTTGGGACGGCGTTTCACCGTGTTGGCCAGGCTGGTCTCAAATTCCTGATCCCCCGTGATGTGCCCCGCTCGGCCTCCCAAAGTGCTGGGATGACAAGCATGAGCCACCTCGCCCGACCACGTGTCATTTTTCTTGTATGTTACATAAGAGGTAGAATAGTATTTATACTATTATGCACCTTTTCATTTATATTTCTTGGATGACTTTCATGAAATGTAAAATGATTAAGTCACTAATTCAGTAAATCATTGATTTTATTACCGAATGATCGAATACATAAGGGGGATTGAGATTTTTTCCCATATCATTCTTTAAAAATTGCAGTGTGAGTGTGAGCTTATCTCGTTTATCATTGCCAGCTTGCATTCACAAGAGATGGGCTCTGTGGTCTGTGGAATGAAATGGTTAAAGATGGAGAAATTGTATACACTGGAACAGAATCAACCCAGAACGGATAGCTCCCTCCTGGAAAAGGTAAGGGCCTTTAACTAGTGTTTTTTATTTGGTAAAGACCATTATAAAATGCATTTTATAGAAATTTTGTAATGTGCTATAGGAACAGGAGCTTTGAGCTTAACTCTTTGAAGTTTTGCTTTTTACTTTGGAGATTGTTGTCTAAAATGGTAGTTAATACAAGCTGCCCGGATTTTATTGTTTTACGTGAATTGAAGGCATTTTTATTGCAAAACCGTCTTGCTGCATTTGTGGTGTTCTTTGGGGGTGTATTAAACACTTATTGGAAGCCTTTGGCCTGCAAGGAAATGCCATTGAACAATCTTATTTAGCGTTGTAGTTTTGCATGCTCAATAGGACTATCATTGGGTTGTTCATAACAGTGGCTGTGTTTCAGAGTCCCCATTGAGGTTTAAAAAAATGGATGCTTGTATACACCCTAAACTTGTTGAATCTGAAAAGATCCTTGGTTGAGAACCACTGTTGAAGTTCGTTGGTCCCCCTGCTTGAGAGTCATCAACGTGGATAAAGCTACCACTTTAGAAAGTATTTATTCTAAGTTGAAATAGCTCAGTTGGGAGAGCATTAGTCTGAAGAAAGTATTTCTTCTTCTTTTTTTTTTTTTTGGGAAGGAGTCTTGCTCTGTCGCTGAGGCCGGAGTGCAGTGGCGCGATCTCAGCTCACTGCAAGCTCCACCTCCTGGGTTCATGCCATTCTCCTGCCTCAGCCTCCCAAGTAGCTGGGACTGCAGGTGTCCACCACCACGCCCGGCTAATTTTTTGTATTTTTTAGTAGAGACAGGGTTTCACCGTGTTAGCCAGGATGGTCTCAATCTCCTGACCTCGTGATCCGCCCGCCTCAGCCTCCCAAAGTGCTGGGATTATAGGCGTGAGCCACCGTGCCTGGCAAGTATTTATTCTTCTTTTGTGGAATGAATTGGGATGGTGTCCACTTGAAAATACTTGGGGACCGGGCGCGGTGGATCGTGCCTGTAATTCCAGCACTTTGGGAGGCTGAGGCGGGCAGATCATTTGAGGTTGGGAGTTTGAGACCAGCCTGGCCAACATGGTGAAACCCCGTCTCTACTAAAAAATACAAAAATTAGCCAGGCATAGTGGCGGGCGCCTGTAATCCCAGCTACTTGGGAGGGCACGGCAGGAGAATTGCTTGGAGCCGGGAGGTGGAGGTTGCAGTGAGCAGATATTGTGCTACTGCACTCCAGCCTGGGTGACAGAGTGAGACTCCATCTCAAAAAAAAAAAAACAAAAAACACAAAACAAACCATGGGAAAAAGTATTAGTCTCCCTCTTCAGTTTCAGTGTCAAGCAGAGTTACCTGTGTTTTTATTTTAATTTATTTTTTATATTTGTTTGAAAATATTCACACACACACACACACACACAATAACTGACAGACGTGTACAGTGAGTGGCTGCAGACCCACCTCCATGTTCTACCACCGTATTTGGCTCCACATCCTGCTGTCTGTCCATCCACCGTTTGTCTCACCTAGCTCCTTAGACACTCATGTATGTAATTGATTCTAGTTCAACTTTGTTTTTGACTTTCAGGTAAAATTTATATATAATGAAATGTATCTATTTTGAGTTTACCATTTCACAAGTTTTGACAAATGTAACCCGTGTAACCCACATCTTTATCATGACTCTTGCTCAGAAAGTTCTCTGGTGTCCTGCCCCTTCTTCCCAGAGGCAATAGCTGGCCTGATGTTTCTCCAGCATTGACAAATTGCGCCTGTTCTAGAACTCCATACATGGAATCATGTAGTCGGGTTCTTCTGTGTCTTGGCTTCTTTCACTCTGTTTAGTGCTTTTGATTTTCATGTTTTTTTTTTTTTAAACAACATAATGGGTTTATATTTAATATAGCACTTCTCATCAGGAGGTGTTACTCAGTTAATATAAAGTTTTTATTAACATTAAATCTCTTTTCCATGTCAATGTCTATAGTGTTTTTTTTTTTCTTTAACATTAAGTCTTTTCTCCATTTCAGTATTAGATACACTGAATACATTTTTCTAAATGATTTTTTTTCTTTCCAGAGATAAAAGTTTCCCTTTTTGGCTGACTATTGGATATCTGAATTTGGGAGATGACAAAAGTCTAATAAAAATACAGAGAACAGACTCAGTGATTTAGGAGGCAGTGATTACGACTGAACAGTGGCGATTTCCTAGGATTCTGGGCAAAATCCATTTATGTACCAATTTGTTCCCATTTCATGGAATCAACTCAGAAAGTAAAACTCTCCTA
The DNA here is from genome assembly GCF_000001405.40 of Homo sapiens. Lineage (NCBI taxonomy): Eukaryota > Metazoa > Chordata > Mammalia > Primates > Hominidae > Homo > Homo sapiens. The sequence goes on along the minus strand of NC_000015.10, from coordinate 20,481,151 downwards.
CTTACTAATTCTTGGAAACTTTCAGACACCAAAGCTTACATTTAGTTTCAGTAGCACAAAGGTTTTCAGGGTGAGGTTTCATTCATTAGGCCCTTCAAAGTCACATCTGTTCATTTTTATCTTTCGTGCGTATACCCGCAAGCAAGTACGAACACCTGTAATACTGAGAACCACACCTTTTAACGAGAGAGCAGTTGCATCACTGGCTTCCACTGCCTTGACAGCAGGCAGCACCAAAAGCAGTGACATAAGGACTAAGGACAATTGTGTTGAAACTGAGGTCATGATGTTGGGATTTTGAGGGCTGAATGTTCCAAGTAAGTGGTATATATAGAATTCTCTCTGACTTGAAATTTTCCCTTTCTGGACCTCTGGATGCTGAGGCTAAGAGTGTCCATATGACAGTGTCTTCCAAGACAGGAATCAGCAACCTTTTTTTGTTTTTCTGTATCAGTAATTCATTCTGTATATTTTAAAAAGTTTTAACCTCTTCTTCCTAGCCCTCCAGTATTTGTTTATAAATTAAAACATTTCCCAAAGTGTTTTCTGTGAAACAATAGTTCTAAAAGGTGCTCTAAGAAAAGCTAAGTACATGGCAAAATCCAAAGTATATGTTTTATTCATTACATTTGATGAATTTTTTTTGTTTTTTCCTCTCGAGAGGGAGTCTTGTTCTGTCGCTCAGGCTGGGGTGCAGCGGCATGATTTTGGCTCACTGCAACCCCTTCCTCTCGGGTTCAAGCAGTTCTCTGCCTCAGCCTCCTGAGTACTCAGCTAGGATTACAGGCGCCCTCCACCATGCCCAGCTAATTGTTGAATTTTTAGTAAAGACGGAGTTTCACCATCTTGGTCAGGCTGGTCTTGAACTCCTGACCTCATAATCTGCCCACCTCGGCCTCCCAAAGTGCTGGGTTTACAGGTGTGAGCCACCATGCCCAGCCCACATTTGATGAATTTTTTTGTCTTTTGTTCTTTTAAAAATCATGGTTGGAAAGCAGAGCATAATTGTTCTTTATGTAGATCCCAACTGATTGGGATTGTTAGGGAGATGTTTTGGCATTCAGTAAATGTTTTTGTTTTCCATTATTAAGACTATGAATATTTTATTTTATTTTCTGAGACAGGGTCTCAGAATTTGTCAAATTTGTAAAATTTATAGCCAGATGTAGGGTAGGGGTGGCCTACTTTCTGTAAAGGGCCAGATAGTAAATATTTTAAGCTCTCAATGGACCCTATGGTCTCTGTCATAGCCATGGGACCTTGCAGCTGTAGTGCCAGAGTAGCCACAGACAATACTACGTCAGCGGGCTGGGGACGTTCATTCTGTAAACTTTATTTATGGACACGAAAAGATGAAGTCCACAGAATGTTTGCAAGTCACAAAATACTGTTTTTCTTTTGATTATTTTTCAATTATTAAAAACTATAAAATACGGTGGCTGGGCGTGGTGGCTCACACCTGTAATCCCAGCACTTTTGGAGGCTGAGGCAGGCGGATCACCTGAGGTCAGGAGTTCGAGACCAGCCTGGCCAACATGGTGAAACCCCATCTCTACTGAAAACAAAAAATTAGCCGGGCATGGTGATGCACCCCTGTAATCCCAGCTCCTCGGAGGTTGAGGCATGAGAATCACTTGAACCTGGGAGAATCGCTTGAGCCTGGGAGGCAGAGGTTGTGGTGAGCCAAGACTCCATCTCAAAAGAACAACAAAACTAAAATACTTTCTCTGTGTTCAGACCATACACAAAAAGGCTGTGGGCTGGGTTTGTCCTGTGGGCTGTGGTTAGTGACCACACACACACACACACACACACACACACACACACGGCAGAGTCTGGCATTCAGAGCCAGCACCTGTGTTCTCACCTGAGCCGTGTTCCTGGCTGGGTTCTACTCTGTATTCTGTGACTCGAGGTGTCTACCTTGGTAAACTGGAGGCTGTTTTAGTTTGCATTCCCGCTGACAATCTGTCACGTTTCTGTTGCTCTGTGTCTTTGTTAGCACTTGGTGTTATCAGTGATTTTTAGTTGAGCCATTCTAACAAGTCTAGTGGGATCTCATTGTGGTTTTAATTTGCAATTCTGTAATGGCTAACAATGCTGAATATCATGTTCTTTTTTGCCACTCTTGTATCCTCTGTGAGTTTCTGTTCAGATCTTTTGCACAGAAAAAGCTGTATCATGGAACCAGTAAAATAACCAAGGAGAGGTTGATTAAAGTTCTGTTTATAACCCTAGAAGATTCCTGCCCTAGGGATATGGGATGGCTGAACGTAGGACACCGACACTGGACAGATGAAATAGCAGTTTATTAGTCACGCATGCTCACAGCCCTGGGGTGGGGGACACCGCATGCCACACGGGGGCTGCACTTGGGAACAGAGCGAACCACGAGGGGCTGTGGGAGGCACATTTTGTAGTAACAGGAGGGTGAGATGACCTTGCTTCCATGGGAAGATGTGACTGGCTTGTTTGAATAACTCTGGGCCGGCAGGGATGAGCAGGCTGGGGTCGGGTTTCCGCGATAAGGAGGTTGTTTGGCTTTGGGATCTTATCCGTGAGAGCAGAGCTCAGGGGAGACCTTGTGGTTAGGCTATTTGAGGCCTTCTTGATTTTACCAATGTCAAGGCAGCACGTAATATTTAGTCTTAATTTCAGGCCACACGAGAAATTCTTCTGTATCTACTTTCCGTGGCACTTTTCAAAAGGTTTTGTCCTTAGTGTTTAGCAGTTGATTATGATGTGCCTCGTCATGGCTTCCTTTGGATTTATCTTGTGTGGGCTTTGTGCAGATTCTTCAGTCTGCCTGGGTTTATGTCATTTGCTGAACCTAGGAAGTTTTCAGCCATTAGTTCTTTGGATATTTTTTTCAGCATTCACCTTTTCTCTCTTGTTATTAACCTGTGGGGTCTGTGCTAATTCTAGGTAGTTAGTTTCAGAATTGAATTGCACTGTGGGACACAAAGCTGGGTGTCGCAGAGAACTGGAGAATTGCTTGGTGCAAAAGTCCATACATTTGGTGTCAGAAGTGTTGTAAACAGAGGAACTGTTTCCTTCGAGATTTTTAGATAGTCATTATTTGTAATCTGGATGGGATATCATGTCTTTCCCCGATTGAGATACATTTTTCTAATTATGTTGTTAGACATTTAGTCACAGCCTTCTGTGATGGAGTGTGTTTACACTTCAAGGTTAAGGTTAGTTCTCTCTTCTCTTCGCTTACTGTGTAAGGAGTTTTATGACAGTTGTTTTTGACTGAAACTTGACATTGTCAGTGGCCTAAAGTGATTTTTCTCAGCTTTTCCTTTGTGTCCCAGTGCTCTTGAATTATGCCAGCAGTGACAGTGCCCCTGCATAGCAGTGCTTCCCAGTTGGCAGTGGAGTAGGGCCTTGTAAAGAGTTAAAAGATTTTTGAATCATACTCTTGTTCTACACCCTCCCTTTTCCCATGGATACACAAGCACTGAGACTCACTGGATAAAAGCAATTGGTGTGAAATTGAAGTAGGTAAATATGAAAGACTTAAGTTTCTCAGTTAAGAAATGTACTAGGAAGTAGATGGAATATCATTTTGGAAGACATCCTTTAAATAATTTGTTGTATTGGTTTCTTTTTTTTTTTTTTTGAGATGGAGTCTCGCTCTGTCACCCAGGCTGGAGTGCAGTGGCATGATCTCAGCACACTGCAAGCTCTGCCTCCCAGGTTCACACCATTCTCCTGCCTCAGCCTCCCGAGTAGCTGGGAATACAGGCGCCTGCCATCATGCTCAGCTAATTTTTTGTATTTTTAGTAGAGACGAGGTTTCACCGTGTTAGCCAGGATGGTGTCGATATCCTGACCTCCTGATCCACCCGCCATGGCTTCCCAAAGTGCTGGGATTACAGGCATGAGCCACCACGCCCGGCCAATATATTGGTTTCTTTATGAAAATTATACTGGATCTGTTACAGGTATGATTGATGTATTTTATTTTTAAGTTGTCAAGCATTCAGTTAATCATGTGTGTTGTAACATTTCGGGGAGGGACATTTGCAGAGGCTAACGGTATGACATTCTGAAAAGCGGTGACAGATTAAAAAATTTTTAATTCTGCAGATGATAGTGTCGAACCAAGTGGGACAAAGAAAGATCTGAATGACAAAGAGAAAAAAGATGAAGAAGAAACTCCTGCACCTATATATAGGGCCAAGTCAATTCTGGACAGCTGGGTATGGGGCAAGCAACCAGGTGATCTTGCGAATTTTGGCACTTTGGAAAGGTTGATCTGACACTCCCTTTCTAAATAACTTGAATGGATTCTTAGTATTTTTTTGGTAACAATTTTTTAAAAACTAATTAAAAAATTTAAATATTGTGGTAAAATATACATACCATGTAACTTACCGTTTTAACCAGTTTTATGTGTACAGTTCATTGGCATTAAATATATTGACATTGTTGCCCAGCCATCACGCTTGACTAATTAGAGACAGAATCTCACTGTGTTGCCCAGGCCGGTCTTATACTCCTGGCTTCACGGGATCTTCCTGCCTCAGACTCCTGAGTTGCTGAGATTTCAGATGTGAGCCATCGCACCTGGCACTATGTGTAACTTTTTGAGGAAGCAGTAAACTGTTTTCCACAGTGGCTACATTGTTTTACATTCTTGCAGCAGTATACTAAGGTTCCAATTTCTCCACACCCTCACCAACACTTTTTGTTTTCTGATGATAACCATCCTAATTTGTGTGAGTAGGTACAGCATCTCATTGTTTTGATTTGTATTTCCCTGTTGATTAGTCATGCTGAGCATCTTTTTACATGCTTATTGGCCATTTGTATACATTCACTGGAGAAATGTCTATTCAAATCCTTTGCCCGTTTTTTGTTTTTTTTTTTTTTTGGGGAGATGGAGTTTGGCTCTTGTTGCCCAGGCTGGAGTGCAGTGGTGCAATCTTGGCTCATTGCAACCTCCTCCTCCCAGGTTCAAGTGATTCTCCTGCCTCATCCTCCCGAGTAGCTGGGATTACAGGTGTCCGCCACCGTGCCTGGCTAATTTTTTGTATTTTTAGTAGAGACGAAGTTTCACTATGTTAGCCAGGCTGGTCTTGAACTCCTGACTTCAGGTGATCCACCCACCTTGGCCTCCTAAAGTGCTGTATTACAGGTATGAGCCACTGTGCCTGGCCCTTTTGCCCTTTCTTTTTTTTTTTTTTTTTTTTTAGAGACAGAGTCTTGTTCTGTCACCCAGGCTGGAGTACAGTGGCATGATCTTGGCTTACTGCAACCTCCACCTTCCGGGTTCACGCCATTCTCCTGCCTCAGCCTCCCGAGTAGCTGGGACTACAGGCGGGCACCACCACACCCAGCTAATTCCATTTTTTAATTGAGTTTTTTGTTTTGGGTTATAGGAGTTCCTTATCATGGATGGACTTTCATAATCTCTTCCCTTTCTCCAACCCAGTAAAACCCATATATTTATTCTTTGCTTACTTTTTTGTGTGTAATTGAATTTTTTAAAATGTCTGATGCATTTTCGTTCCAATTAAAAATATACATCAAATAAATGTTTTCTTATAAAAATGTATCGATTATAAAAGCAGAAATTTCACCTGGCTGCCCACCCCAATTTCAGTTTTCCTCTAAGAGTTAGCCACTATTATCCCTTCAGAGTGGATATTCAGGCTTTTCTTTCCTGGCATGGACATACATATGTAAATGTACATATATAAAAATAATTAGTGACACCATGCATGGTAGCTCACGCCTGTAATCCCAGCACTTTGGGACGCTGAGGTGAGAGAATTGCTTGAGGCCATCAGTTTGAAGCTGCAGTGATCTATGATTGTGCCTCTACACTCCAGCCTGGGTGACAGGGTGAGACCCTGTCTCTTAAAAAAAAATTCGTATTTGGGGTTAGTAGTAGTACCTACCTCATAGGTTATTATGGGATCAGTACAGTAGGCCAGACAAAGTGCGTATGCTATTATTTTGCATGTAGTAAGTACCAGCATATACTACCTGTTATCCAGAAATTTGCTGAAATGTGCCTTGTATTTTCTCTCTTTCGATTTTGATCAGTCTTTCTAGAAGTCATCAGTTTGAGTTTTTTCAAAGAACCAGTTGTTGGTTTTATTGATTTTGTTTGTTTTCTTTTTCATTGATTTCTGCTTTACTCTTTATTATTTCCTTTTTTCTGCTGGCTTTGGGTTCCATTTGTTCTTCTGTCTCTTCTAGTTTCTTAAGGTAAAGGCTTAGATCATTGACTTCAGATTTTTTGTCTTTTCTAACAAGTGTTCAAAACTATAATATAAATTTCCCTCTAAGCATTGTTTAGCCACATTTCACAAATTTGGAAATGTTTATTCATTTTCATCTTCATTCAGTTGAAAATATTTTCTAATTTCCCTTTTAATTTCTTCTTTTACTCACTTATTATTTGGAAATGTGTTATTTCATTTCCAAATATTTGGGGATTTTCAAATATCTCCTGTTAACAATTTCTAAATTAGTTGTAGTCAGAGAACATATTCTGTGATTTCAATGCTGAGGCTTGTCTGAAGCCCCAGAATATGGTGCATTCTGTGGAATGTTTCATGCACATGTAATAAGAATGTGGCTGGGTGCAGTGGCTCCTGCCTGTAATCTCAACACTTTGGGAGGCTGAGGTGGGTGGATTACTTGAGGTCAGGAGTTCGAGACCAGCCTGGCCAACATAGTGAAACCCTGTCTCTACGAAACATACAAAAATTAGCTGGGTGTGGTGGTGGGTGCCTGTAATCTCGATTGCACCCCTGCACTTTAGTCTGGGTGACAAAGCAAGACTACATCTCAAAAAAAAAAAAAAGTGTATTTTGCTGCTCTGTAAAGCTTAGTGAGATCAAGTTGATAGTGTTCAGGTATCCTTGACTTGAAATAGTTTTCTGCCTGCTTGTTCTAGTCACTGTTAGGAGAGGAGTTGAACTAACACACAAGGTTGGCTTACCACATTAGTTTGACATGAATCTCAGAGATGTTACCCGTAGCTGATTACTTAGTAACTTTAAAGATACAAGTAATATCCTCACTTGTGTGCTCAGGCAAAGTGGGGAGAGATGTGGGAGAGTCTGTGCAACCCCCGCAGGTCCATCCTCTTTGAGCCCGGCCTGCGAGATGAGACCTCTCACTGAGGCGTGTGGTCCTCTCACTGAGGTGTGTCGTCATCTCACTGCACAAGGAGCATTAAGGATGTGCAGTGTTCCCGTTTTGTAGTCAGATAGTTTATACACCTTAGGGAACCTTTTCCAGGGAGCCATGTCCCATAAGTCCATGGATTTTAGGTATGTTTACCAAACACAATCCTAAACTAACCACATCTTGCTAAAAACATTTCATAGATAAGGACACTTCTCCTAGCAAATACCAGTCATTTATTTACAGAGAAGCCAGTCTCAGTGTTCTGGGAGATCAGCCCCAGTGACTGGCTTTATTTCCCAGGAGTATCTCCATTGTGCTGGGGAGGCATGAAGAGCAATTTCACTGCTTAGTTCCTCTTTCTTCTGAGGAGAATTGAAATCTCTCATGCTAATTATGGATTATTTTCTTTCAGCTCTGCAGGTTTTGCTTCATGTATTTGAGAATGTTATAAGGTGCATGCACTTTTAGGATTTTTACGCCATATTCATAAATTTGACCCCCTTAATCTCCGGTGACATTCTTTGTTGTGAAGTCACCTTGGTCTGACTACTCTCCTTTCTTCTGATTTGGTGTTTGCGTGGTGTGTTTGCCAGGTTTAGCTTTTTTCACTTTCAAACTTTGTGTATGTGTAAAGTAGATTTCTTTCAGGTATCATTTAATTAGGTCTTGCTTCTTTATTCACCCTGACAACCTCTGTTTTTTATTTGGAATCTTTAGACTACTTGGGTTTAAATCTATCATCTCTGGCGTTTTCAGTTACATCTTTCACTTGTCACTGCCCACTCTCAAATGGTATTACACTGCCTGAGCCGCGGGGCAGTGCTCTGACTGTAGCTTCCTGCTTCTGACATGTTCTTGGTTGGTAGTGTTGCTGTGTCATGTCCAAGTGAAACATGGTATAAACCCCACAATATGATGTTTTTGTTTTTGCTTTAAATAGGCAATTACATTTTTTCCCCTCAAATTTGAAAAGAGAAAAAAAAGTCTTTTTTTTTTTTGAGACGGAGTTTTGCTGTTGTTGCCCAGACTGGAGTGTAATGGCACAATCTCAGCTCACTGCAACCTCCGCCACCCAGGTTCAAGCGAGTCTCCTGCCTCAGCCTCCCTAGTAGCTGGGATTACAGACACACACCACCGTGCCTGGCTAACGTTTTTGTATTTTTAGTAGAGACAGGGTTTCACTATGTTTGCCAGGTTCGCCTCGAACTCCTGACCTTAGGTGATCCACGTGCCTCAGCCACCCTTAAGTGCTGGGATTATAGGATTATAGGTGTGAGCCACCACACCTGGCCTCTTTTTTTTTTTTTTTTTGAGGCGGAGTTTTGGTCTTGTTGCCCAGGCTGCCAGGATGGAGTGCAATGGCATGATCTTGGCTCACTGCAGCCTCTGCCTCCTGGGTTCAAACGATTCTGGCTCAGCCTCCCGAGTAGCTGGGATTACAGGCATACGCCACCACACCTGGCTAATTTTGTATTTTTGAGTAGAGACATGGTTTCGTCATGTTGGTCAGGCTGGTTTCGAACTCCTGACCTCAGGTGATCCACCCACCTCGGCCTCCCAAAGAGCCACCATGGCTGGCCAAAAAAAAGTTTTTTATGTTAACTTTCATTTTACCATTATGGGCCCTTAAGGTTTTGTTTCTGTCCCAGCTACCTTGTGTTATCATGTTCCTTCAGTTTGAAGATCTCCCTTTACCATTTCTAGATTTTCTGACAGAGAAGTTTTTCAGTCTGTCTGGGTATCAATTTTGGCTTTATCTCTGACTCTACACAAATCACTTTGTCTCACCTTGGGCCTCTCATGTATAAAACAGGAATAAGTGGCCGGGTGCAGAGGCTCATGCCTGTAATCTCAGCACTTTGGGAGGCTGAGACGGGCGGATCATGAGGTCAGGAGATCGAGACCATCCTGGCTAACGTGGTGAAACCCTGTCTCTACTAAAGATACAAAAAAATTAGCTGGGCGTGGTGGTGGGCACCTGTAGTCCCAGCTACTCGGGAAGCTCAGGCAGGAGAATGGCATGAACCCAGGAGGCGGAGCTTGCAGTGAGCCAAGATTGCACCACCACTCTAGCCTGGGTGACAGGGTGAGACTCCATCTCAAAACAAAAAAAACAAACAAAAAAAAGGAATAAGTATAATATAATGTAAATAATTAAAATTATATATAAAATAAGTGAAAGTACTTACTCAGAGAGTTGCTGTGCAAATGACATGAAATAATGCATTTGAAGCTCTTAAGTCAGTGCCTGGCACAAATGTTTGATAAAGATTTGTTGTGATTTTAAAAATCTGTTATTTTGCCTTTCTCCATGTTTCCCCTCACCTAGGTATCAAAGTACCTACAGTTATGGGTGGGTAACTAGACTAAAAATGTACCTTTCTTGCTCAGATTAAAGCCCGGCTTATTGACTCAGGGCAGCTTTAATCGGTTTATTTGGAAGCTCTGCTTGTTCACAGGTACAGAGCTTTTGCAGAACCGACTCTGTACCTGGCAGCCTTGAAGGGGCTTGGATTCAAAGCATATTCTTGAGCCACGCCATCTTTAATCAAACTGCAGGTGGAATTTGTAGCTGTTAGAATAGCTCCTATTCCTTTCATTTCTTTTTCTGTTTTTTTACTCTTCCATCTCAGCCTAAAAAGAAAAACACGTTAATTTGAGCCATAGGAATTTAGAATTTGTTTTGTCTTTTGCTTAGATATGTTTGACTAAAGCTTCCTTTTTCACAGGTTTATTTTTTCCAACATTTTATTATGAAAAAAATATATACAGAAAAGTTGAAAGAATTTTACAGCGCGCACCCACATATTCACCACCTAAGATTGTGCCGCTGGCATCATCCCACGTGCTTTATCACCGTTCTCTCCACCTTTTCATCCTTCTATTCATCCATCAGTCCCTCACATTTTTTTTGCAATGTTTCCAAGGAGACCTCTGGACACTTGCTTCTCAACATTGCAGCGTGTAGGCCCTCAGCAGGAGTTCAGAAGTGCACATTTCACAGTGAACCTTCTGAGAGTGTTGACAGATCACAGCTTTTCTTTTTGTCTAATGAAAAGGGCTTGCTGGCCATTGGGTGTTGTAATCTCTTAGGAGAGTAAACTCTTAGTAACTATCTAAATCATTCTTAATGATTCTCTCTGCTGTATAAATAGGTCTGGGAGGACCCTTTCTGACATTCTTGTTGGCATAGGTTTTAGCTTAAGGTGTTGTAAATGCTGTTTATCAAGATGATGAAGTTCCCATTTGTTGCTATTTTCTGAGAATTTTTATCATTCACGAGTATTGAATTTTGTCATTTGCTTTTTCTAAATCAATTGATATGTAATTATGTGATTTTTGTTCTTTAGTCTATTAATAGGGTGGGTTACATTGATATTTGACTGTTGAACCAGCTTTGCATTCCTGGAATGAAACTACTTGGCGATGATGTGGAATTCTTTTTATATATTGTTTACTTCTACTTGCTAATAATTCACTGAATATTTTTGTGTCTATATATATATTAAGGTATATTGTTCTGTAGTTTGTACTGTCTTTAGGTACGGTACCTAATATTAGCTTCTTAAAATGCTAATATTAGCTCTAATATTAGCTTCTTAAAATGCTAATATTAGCTCTAATATTAGCTTCTTAATATGAATTGGGAAGTTTTTCCTTTTCTAGTTTCCAGAAGAGATTGTTTTGAGTCTGTGTTAATTCTTTTTTAATGTTTGATGGAATTATCCAGTGAGTTCATTTGGATCTGGTAATTTCTTTTTTTTTTTGGGATTCTTTGAATTATGAATTCAGTTTTCTTGATAGTGGTAGAGCTATTCAAATGATCTATTTTATATTTGGTGAGTTGTGGTAATTTGCATTATTTGAGGAATAAGTCTATTTTGCCCAAGTTGTCAAAGTTATGTGTGTAGAGTTGTTCCTAGTAATTCCTAATTATCTTTTTTCATATCTTTAGAGCCTGTTTCATCACTAATGTTGGGTAATTTATGTCTTTTTTTTTTTTTTCAGTCTTGCTTAGAGAGGTGTGTCAGTTTTATTGATCTTTTCAAAGAACCAGCTTTTTGCTTTACTGTTTATTGTTTTTCTGTTTTCACTTTGTTTCTACTCTTACCTTAATTATTTCTTCCTTTCTGCTTACTTTTGGGTTGATTTTGCTATTTTTAATTTTCTTTTAGGTTGTCAACGTGGGCACTTATATTATTGATTTGTTTCCAAGTTTCTAATGTACCATTCATTTAGTGCTGTAAATTTGTCTCTCGTCACCCACTGTAGCTCTTTCCCATACATTTTGATGTATTGTACTTGCATTTTCTCTCAGTTCACAATATATTTTAAAATTTCCCTTGAGACTTTCTCTTTGATCCATGGGTTATGTAAAAGTTTATTGTTTAGTTTCTGAGAGTTAGGCAATTTTCCTGTAATTGTTCTCTTGTTGACTTCAGATTTGTTCCCATTGTTTGAGGGAACATATGCTGTGTGATTTTAATTTCAAAAAATTTGTTAGGTTTGTTTTATGCCTCAGAATATGTTCTAACTTAGTATTTGTTTTGTGGATACTTGAAAAGATTATGTATTCTGTTATTATTGGCTGGAGTGTTCTATAAATTTTGATTGGCTCTAGTTGATGGATGGTGATGTTGCGTTCTATATCCTGGCAGCTTTTCTGTCTCCTAATTTTATCAGCTGTAGAGAGAGATTTTGAGGTCTCCAACTATAAAAGTATAAATGTCTTTTTCTCCTTTCGGTTCTATTCATTGTTTTTTTGTTTGTTTGGTGTCTGCACGTTTCGAATTGCTGTGTCTTAATGGTGGATTGACCAAGTTCTCATTTTGTAATGTTGCCGTTGGTTCCTGGTAATTATCTTTTTTTTTTTTTTGAGACGGAGTTTCGCTCCTTTTGCCCAGGCAGGAGTGAAGTGGCATGATCTCAGCTCACTGCAACTTCCGACCCTACCAGGTTCAAGTGATTCTCCTGCCTCAGCCTCCTGAGAAGCTGGGATTATAGGCTTCTGCCATCACACCCAGCTAATTTTTGTATTTTTAGTAGAGATGGGGTTTTGCCATATTGGCCAGGCTGGTCTCAAACTCCTGAGATCCACCCACCTTGGCCTCCCAAAGTGCTAGGAGTACAGGCGTGAGCCACTGTGCCCGGCCCTCCTGGTAATTATCTTTGTTCTGAAGTTTACTTTATTTGATATAAATATAGCCAACTCCTGCTGTCCTTTCAGTAATGTTTGCATGATCTTTTTTTTTCTATACTTCTATTTTCAGTTTGCCTGTTTGAAGTCACTTTCTTATGGACAACATATAGTTGGATCATGTTCTCTAGTCTACTCTCCTAGTGTCTTTTAATTGATGTATTTAGATTGTTTACATTTAATTTAATGTCATTGATAAATTGAGGCTTAACACTGCCATTTTGTTTTGCATTTTCTATTTCTTCTGTTTTTCATTTTTTCGGTTTGGTTCTTCCTGGCTCTCTGTGGTTTACTTGACCATTTTTAGCATTCTATTTCATCTGTAGTGTTTTAGAGTGTATCTTTTTGTATAGCTTTTTTAGTGGCTTTTCTAGGTAATATATTACATACAGATTGAGCATCTGTAAACCCAAAATCCAAAATCTGAAATGCCCCAAAATTCGAAACTTTATGGCACTCCAGCATGACGCCCCCAAATTGAAAATTCCATTCATAAGTACTTAGCATGAACTTTGTTTCATGCACAAAATTACTAAGCATGCTATATAAAATTACCTTCAGGCTCTGTGTATAAGTTATATATAAAACATAAATGAATGTATTTAGACTTGGGTCCTATCCCCAAAATATCTCATTATTTATATGCAGATATTCCTAAATCTGATAAAAATCTGAAATTTGGAACACTTGTGCTCCTGAGCATTTTATAAGGGACACTCAGCCTGTGTATGTATGAACACTTATCAGATTTTACCTGATGTTGTCATTTACCAGCTTCAGGGATATAGAAACTACCTCCCTTGATGTTCCTTTATGTTCTTCTGTTCATAATATACTTGCCTTAAATATTTCATTTACTTACATTGATAACCACATATGACAATGTTATAATTTTTGGTTGAACCTTCAGACATAATTTAGCAAAGTCAAGAGGTGAGGGAAAAGTCTATTGTATTTATGCGTTGGTGTGCTTGTCATCTCCTCCTTCCAGAAGTTCCAGGGTTTTCTTCTTTGATGGTTGCCATTCTGCTTAGAGAACTTCCATTAGCCTTTCTTTTGGTGTGGGTCTTCTGGTGACAAATTCTGTTTCACTTCCTCTGAGAATGTTTTGCTTTCCTTTTCATTCCTGAAGGACATTTTTGCTGGATATAAGAATTCTGGGTTAATGGTTCTTTTCATCGCTTGAAAAATATTTTGTACTTTCAGCTGGGCTCCATGGTTTCTGATGAGAAATTCGCTGTCATTTGACTTGTTAATCTACGATAGTTAAGGCACTGTTTTTGTTTAGTGGCTTTTGAAATGTTTTGTCTTTTGTTTTTTGGAGTTTGATTATTATATGTCTTAGTTTGGATTTCTTTGGGTTCATCCTGTTTAGGGTTTGCTTACCTTAGATCTGTAGATTTATGTCTCTTGCCAAATTTGGGAACTTGTAAGCCATCACTTCATAGAGTACAGTTTCAGCCCCACCTTCTTTCTCCTGTCCCTTCGTGAGTTCAGTGACCGGAGTTGTTATAGTCCCATAGGTCCCCGAGACTGTTTTTTTGTTTGTTTGTTTGTTTTGCGGGTACATTGCTTTCTTTCTCCCTTCCCGTCCCGTCCTATCCCATCCCGTCCTGTCCTATCCCGTCCCATCCCGTCCCTTCCCGTCTTCGGAGTCTCTGCCTGTTTCCCAGGCTGGAGTGCAGTGCACGTTCTCGGCTCACTGCAACTGCCGCCTCCCTAGTTCGAATGATTCTCCTGTCTGAGCCTCTCGAGTAGCTGGGATTATAGGTACCCGCCACCATGCCCAGCTCAGTTTTATATTTTTAATAGAGATGAGGTTTCACCATGTTGGCCAGGGTGGTCTCAAAGTCCTAACCTTGTGATCTGCCTGCCTCGGCCTCCCAAAGTGCTGGGATTACAGATGTGAGCCACCATGCCCAGCCTATTATTTGGCAGTCTTTAAACTAATGATAATAGGGGTCTTCTGCCTTTAGAAGAATTAGAACTGTGATTTAATTTGCAAATGAAAGTAGGTGTTCTCCAGAGTGGGCAACATTTAGATTAAAATAAAGGTTTTGGTTTTAGATTTCAAGGCCAGCTTGAGATGCTGTGCTGGGTTCCCACAGAGGTGGTTCTGCCTTTCTCCAGGGGTCCTAGGCTTGTAGAGTGGTTTGGTCATGTTAGTAATCTGTGTGGATTCAACTTACCTATGGTATCATAAATGTATACATGCACAGTCAATGTTGTGTACATGTATACAGCAGATTTAGAGATTTATACAGTTTATATGCTGCATAAATATATAGACGTATAGTATAACTGTATCATCAACATTGTCATTTGATGGGTCAAATGAGTCAATACCAAAATATAAAGCGTGGGTAAAAAACTGTGTTACTTTAGTTTTTCCCACCATTTCTGAATTTTTGTTTACTTTTCCTTTCTAGCTTTTGTCTGGTCCTCTGAGCCCCAGTGAGAGTTTCCTGAGGTACCTCACCCTTCCACAAGACAACAGGCTTGCCATTGATCTGCAACAAACGGCGGTTGTTGTCATGGCCCATTTAGACCGTCTGGCTACACCCTGTAGATGCCTCCTCTGTGTAGCTCTCCGACGTCTCATAAGGTGTGTGCAAGAACCGTGTTCTCCATGTGTTTTGTAGCTAGTACCACTTGTAGGTTCTCATCCTGGGCCCGTGTGGAGACTTGTTTTTTCTGGTATTGGTAGGGGGAGCTGGCCTGTGGTTTTTAAACGTGTTTGCAGTTGAAGGTGTTATCCGTGTTGAGAGTGAGTGATGAGCAAGCTGAGGCGCACAGGCCTGGCGACCCAACCTGGGGGCCCGGGTTCCAGGTTCAGGTGGCACAGCCCCAGAGAGCTCCCCTTTATCCACAGCCCCAGGCCCTCCCACCTTCTGCAGGGGGTTCCACAGCCTTCTTCATACTCTGAACGCAGGCTGTCTTAGTATGTCATGCTGGTTATAGTAGTGACAGTATAATTATGTATTATATCTCTTATGTAATAGTAATGGTAGTGATTTGCATGTGTGGAGCACCTGTAGGGTGCAGGCCCGCTGAGGACCTCATGCACGCTGTTGTATCTCATTATGTCAATGAGAAAACTGCCTTTGGGAATGGTAGTGAACTTTGCCAGTGCAGAACAGTAATCCTAGTTTTGAATCCAGATTTTTCTAACATTTTATTTCTAGTATAAAGAGTATTTATTTTGTTTTACAGTCATTAAAAAAAAAAATACAGTCACATGGTTCAAAAATCAAACCTAGGCAGAGACACACTGTCGCTTCCCCTGCCCACCCCTTCCACCCATTTTCCCACCTGCTCCCTCTGACTTTCCAGTCTCCTCTGTAACCTCCTTGTTCTCTGGCATGAGTACGTTCATGGTAGCATGCTTCATTACTTGTGTTGCTTGTTTTTTGTTTTTTTTTTTAACTAACCATATATACTGGAGTACCTTATCAGAGTGTCCCTCTTTGTTTTTATAAATCAGCTTAGTCTTCAGTGTGTGGATGTGTCTTTTATCTATCTTTCTTTAGTGAGTCTCTTATTGGTGGACACTTGGGCTTATTGCCACAATGTTGCTATACAAATAGTGCTGAGGGTCGGGTGTAGTGGCTCACGCCTGTAATCCCAGCACTTTGGGAGGTCGAGGTGGGTGGATCACCTGAGGTTGGGAGTTTGAGATCAGCCTGGCCAACTTGGAGAAACCCCGTCTCTACTAAAAAATACAAAAATTAGCGGGGCGTGGTGACGGGTGCCTGTAATCCCAGCTACTTGGGAGGCTGAGGCAGGAGAATCGCTTGAACCTGGGAGGCAGAGGTTGCAGTGAGCCGAGATCGCGCCACTGCACTCCAGGCTGGGCAACAAGAGTGAAACTCCATCTCAAACAACAACAACAGAAAACACAAATAGTACTGCAAGGCCTGGCCTGGAACACGTGTCCTCCATGTGTGCACGCGTGTGTGCCTGTGCACATGCACAGGTGGGGATGGACCTCGTGTGGGCTGGTTGTCACCAGATTGCTCCTGTACATCTTGATTTCTCTCACCACCAATAGGGATGCTGGTCTCCCAGCCTTGTGTGTGGGCTTTTGGGATTTTGCCTGCTAAAGCACAAAGTGGTGACCCCGACATAGTTTGAGCATTTTAAAATATATTAGTATTTAAGGGCCATTTATACTACTTTTTAATGGGCTCTGTTGAAATGCAATGGAAATGGAAAAATAGCCTGTTCAGTTGCTTCATCATACCTGTTAAATGCAGTAATATGGCATGGTACGAGATGGGGTTTCACTGTGTTAGCCAGGATGGTCTCGATCTCCTGACTTCATGATCTGCCCGCCTCGGCCTCCCAAAGTGCTGGGATTATAGGCATGAGCCACCGCGCCCGGCTGATTGGATTATTTTAAAGCATAACTCTGTCTTTAAAACATTTTAAGGTATTTTACCTCTTAATGATAAGGATTTTAAAAAAACCCTACAATATCATTATCCTGTCTATAAGATTAACAGTGATTCCTTAATCTAACATGCAGTCCATGTTACATTTTCCTGGACTATCTCAAAAATGCCTTTTTTAGGTGGTAATTTTGAATTAAGACCTGAGCATGTTCTGCGTATTGGCATTGCTTGACATATGCTTCTAGTCTCTTTCCCCAAACAACATGGCTCCAGGCCCTCTTCTCCCTGTCTCTGATCATACCGTTTTCTTTTTCAAAGAAGCAGGTTGGTTATTTTGGAGAACTTCACATTTTCTGAACTTGGTTGATTGCATTCTCTTATTCTAGACCAACATGTTCTTCTGTTAGTTACATTAATCTGCTGGTTAGATCTAGAGGTTTGGTTGGATTTGAATTCAGTCTCGTTGGGGCGGTGTTATGTCTGGGGTCATGCTGCATGCTTTCTGTTGGCTCAGGAGGCCTGTAATGCTCGGTGGCTCCCCGCTTTAGTTCTGTGAAGCTAGACCAGGGAATTCATGTGTTGCGTATCCTCTATAAAATCCCCTACCAACCTTGCCCTCTGCTGTCTGGTTAGCAGGAGGTACAATTTGTACAGCAAGGACATAATCTAAGCTTGACTTCTTGAACTGCCACCTCCCTTTAACTATTTTTCATAATATTGAGTTGGTATCCTAGCACTTGCATAGGTGACCACCACTCAGGTTTTCTTTTTTTTGAGTATTTTTATGAACTAACAGACTTTTATTGATTTGGTGTTTCTTTTCTTTTTTAGCTTTTTCCCCCTTTAATGTGTAAATATATACATTTAAAGGCATAAATGCCCTCAAGCATGCATTTAGTTGTATGTCACCAATTTCGATCTGCAGTATTTTGATTATTAACTGAACACATTTTCTAATTTTCATAGTCATTTTTTCTTAGAATTTTGGGTTACTTATAAGTGTATCTTGTAATTTTCAAATATGTGGATGAATATTTTTATTTTCTGTGTATACAGAGTCATTTTTATTTTATTTTGAATGAATTTTTGAAAACCTATTTGTAATTTAACTGCATTGTAGTCAGCACACATGCTCTGTAAGTTTATTTCTTTGAAATCTGTTGAGATTTACTCTATGGCCTGGCATGGCCCGATTTGGTATTCATGCTGCCTAGACTTTTTTTTAAAGCATTCTATATTTAACAGAATTTGTATGTGTGGTATTAGTTTCAGAGCTAGGTATGTATTTCTCCCATTGTGATTGTGGATTTGTTTATTTCTGCTTGTAGTTCTTTCACACAGTTTGTTCTTTTCATTTTACCTGTTGATTGATCAATGGACTGATTCTGGTTTCTGTATATACAGAGTCATTTTTTACAGGTCAGAACTGTAGAAATAATGAGAAAGTGACACTTGTACGCATAGCTGATTTGGAGAACCATAATAACGATGGAGGCTTCTGGACTGTGATTGACGGGAAAGTGTATGATATAAAGGACTTCCAGACACAGTCGTTAACAGAAAATAGTATTCTTGGTAAGATTACACTTGTTATTTCCTGGTTAAAAGTTACAGCCTGTATCATTTTAAGCAGAGTATTTGGCTTATAAATGATTCCTTTAGTTTTGTGCCAGCCCCCGCATATTTTAATGTATCTGTGGCTTTGGTGTCTGTCTTATCAACAAATTCAGCACATTCGAAGAATTTCCTTTCATTATGTATCTTTTGTTTTAATACTTGGAACTCATTTCAAGTTCCGAGTTGGCCCAGGCAACCCTGGGAGACAGTGGGAGGTCATTATATTCTGGTAACCCTCACTTTTGAGTTAAGAGCCTAACTTATTTCCTACTCACTATTTCTCCTGTAGCTCTTCAGGCAAGCTGAATTGAACTCATGTTGCTTTTTCCCTTTTTGTTTCAGCTCAGTTTGCAGGGGAAGACCCAGTGGTAGCTTTGGAAGCTGCTTTGCAGTTTGAAGACACCCGGGAATCCATGCACGCATTTTGTGTTGGCCAGTATTTGGAGGTGAGGCTGTATGCCTTGAGTGATGCAGAGGATGGCAGGGGATACCCTCTGTGTGTTTGTGATAGGAATATTTGGATCTAGAAGTACTGATATCTGGGTCTTTTGCGGGGCATTAGGGATAAATATAAAGATCCTTTAGAAGTTTTGTCATAAATGAATTTACATTTATTCATGTTAAGATCTGTGATGTACTGGTCTTGAAAGATTGTTTTTTAAATGATCAATTTGTGAGAAATATAGGCAGTGTTCCACAAGAAAAGAGGTTAAACTTTGGTCTTATGTAGAAATTTGGAATGGCTTATAATCTTGAGGTATGTATTTTTTGGGAAGAACTATGTAGAAGTGTAATTCTTTACAATAGAAATATGTCCTTCCTATGTATTCACGAACACATAGAATTTATATATTGGGATTAGCTTACTAGGTATCGACAAGTAATAAGATGTATTAAATGCCATTAGGGCAGGGCTTAAAACAGTTTATGAAGGGGAGAATTAACTTTGCTGTAAATATCTTCTGTGACTGAAAAAGTTGAACTCTTGCTTTTTTCAGAGTTTGATTTTTGTTAGAATAAATTTCATTTCCTCTACATGTGTGGTCACAGTCCACTAATACTTGTCATCGAATACTTGTCATAGTTTTGTTGCCCAGTGGGTTCTTTATGCATGTAACAATTCATTATACTTTCTGAAGCATGGTGTACAGTCACTTTGGAAACTGATTCCTAAGGAATATTCTAGCCAAATCATGTATCTGTGGTTTAGTTTTTCTACAGTAGGGCTGTGCGGTTGCTGCCTGCTTTATAGGGCATGTGGGTTTATATGGTATCTGCTGTTACTTGGGCACAGCAGCACCAACTCATTACAGGATGGAGGGGCAGAACGCCCAGAGCACCCCTGGGCTCACGTGCGGTACAGCTGCAGGAGAGAGCTGTCCTTTTGGTTTTATGTTTTTAATTAATTCTGTTTCCTCAGATTGATGATTAAATTTATTTTTCCAGCCTGACCAAGAAGGCGTCACCATACCAGATCTGGGGAGTCTCTCCTCACCTCTGATAGACACAGAGAGGAATCTGGGCCTGCTTCTCGGATTACACGCTTCCTATTTAGCAATGAGCACACCGCTGTCTCCTGTCGAGATTGAATGTGCCAGTAAGAAAATCTTTACTTTTTGCTAATTAGCAGATTTTTTTTTTTTTGAACTGTAAGTGCCATTAAGAGTGGGAGAGGGCCAGGCACAGTGGTTCATGCCTGTAATCCCAGCACTTTGGGAGGTTGTGGCACGTGGATTGCTTGAGATCAAGATTTTGAGACCAGCCTGGGCAACATGGCAAAACCCCATCTCTACAAAAAACACAAAAATTAGCCAGGCATGTTGGCACGTATTTGTAGTCCCAGATACTCAGGAGGCTGAGGTAGGAGGATTGCTTGAGCCTGGGAGGTTGAGGCTGCAGTGAGTCATGATCATACCACTGCACTCCAGCCTGGGTGACAGAGCAAGACTCTCTTTAAAAAAGCAGGAGATGGCCAGGCAGTGGCTCATGCCTGTAATCCCAGCACTTTGGGAGGCTGCGGCGGGTGGATCACCTGAGGTCAGGAGTTCAAGACCAGCCTGGCCAATGTGGTGAAACCCCATGTCTACTAAAAATGCAAAAATTAGCTGGGTGTGGTGACGGGTGCCTGTAATCCTAGGTACTCGGGAGGCTGAGGTAGGAGAATTGCTTGAACCCAGGAGACGGAGGTTGCAGTGAGCTGAGATCACGCCACTGCACTCCAGCCTGGGTGACAAGAGCGAGACTCGGTCTCAAAAAAAAAAAGGAGAGGAGGATTCAACACAGTTGATGATGACAAAAAAAAAAATAATAAGGATAGTGAGACTCAATCAGGTAGAAACAGCTGTGAGTGGTTGTCATTTGCCCTCATGGTCTGTTGCTGCAGAGGAAGCTAAAAAGTGTGCAGGAATGTCTACCCGTCTGCCCTTGGTGGTCTCACGTATTGCAGCCTCTGCCTGATGGGCCCAGCATGGCTTTTGTCTCCCTGCATGCCCAGAAATTGCACAGAATGTGGATCAGCTGTCCTCTCAGGGAAGAGCATACTATTTGAGCACTGCGTTTTTACCAGACCAGGCTCAAGTCAGTTATATTTCAGGATGGCAGCCTTTGTAACCACCTAAAATAATAAGCTTCTTTCTGTCTCCTAAGATGTGTTTCCATTTTCCTTCATGTAGTTGTGCATTTCCCATCTGTCTGTCTGTCCATCCATGTGAGCAGCTTCTGTTGAGCATTTGCCTGGTGCCGTTACCATACGAGGTGTTCAGGATACAGTGATAGATAGGACACACCTCTGCTTTCTGGTGCCGTTACCATGCGAGGTGTTCAGGATGCAGTGATGGGTAGGACACGCCTCTGCTTTCAGCTGCTGCTTGTTGATGAGCCACCATTCTAAGCAGGTCACATTACAAGGTGGTGAATGGTGAAATGGAGATGTTCATACATGGTTCTGGGAGAAGAAAGGCTTCACATTGGCAGCAGTCCTGAAATTGCGTGAGAGAGCATTCTGGGCAGAAAACACAGGAGTGTCAAGGGCACTGCTGAGAGGAGCAGGGCTTTCCTGCTGCTTGCAGGAGTGGGTGTGGCAGAGGCTTGCAGGGAAGGAGGATCTTGGTGTCCATACAGCCCCCCGTTGGGCGGACCTTTGTGCAGTGCTAGGTGCTGGGCTGCCTGTGGTGCCCTCTGAGGTGTCTGCTTCCTTCCCTCCTCCTCAAGGCTCATTGCTTGCCAGAAGATGGGCTTTGTTTAAATTGGCAAGGAGGGCAGGGCTGGCGAACTCCAGGGCAGAGGGTGCCATGGGCCCTGGCAGGTGGGTCCGATCCACAGGAGGATCAGAGGCTTATCTTGGAGCAGTAAGGAGGGGCTGTCCTGTGCTTAAAGAGAGGGGGCCAGAGAGAGTCGGCATTGGATTAGTGTTTCAGAAGAACGAATGTGGTGTGTTGGGGAATGCTCCTGAGTGCTCTAAAATCTAAATGTCCAGTAAAAGAACACTAAGTGCATCCCGCTTTGATTGCTTGGATTTGGAGCAGTATTTGATAACACAGATCGTTAATAGAGATCTGTAGTGGTGCACTCCCTCAAGTTGCCATAAGCAGTTGTAATTAACATTCGCACTGGTTGATCCCATGCCTTGCACCACGCACAGGTCTCCTTTCCAGTCCATCGGCCCTCCCATCTCCAAGGATCTATCCTTCATTACAGATTGTGTGTTTCTTAAATATTTTCTCCTTTTCATTCCTTTATAAGTGCTCTAGGAATACATAGCCTACCCTGAGGATGTAATTCTTTGTAGAAACCCTTCAGATGTGCTGTTCCCTGCCTGGATACTCAGCGTCTGGGTCTTATTCCTCATCTTAGCTCAGTTGTTGCTTCCACAAGTCCCTCACTGACCCTCAGAATAGCGGTGGTCTGTCTTCCAGTCTCCCTGGTACCCCCATAGTCATCTGTTGCACAGTTTTGGACTTGAAATCCTGTGATTAATTGTGTCAGCGGTGCCCTTTGCTGCCTTCCCTGTTAGAATGTGCACCTCAGTCTTCACACGGTACCTGTGGAACCAGGCAGCTGCAGGCAGAGCACAGGTATCCAGAGAATGTTGGACTGGAACTACGATCCTGAGTTCTGATGCCATGCCTGAGGCGTGTGGAATCACCAGAAAGTGTGTTCACGTAGATAGAGGAATTATAAGTCAACCTGTGTAAACATGTTAGGTGGAGCTCTTTCATATGAATGATGCTGAATTTCACCTTCTAAATTGAGTGTTCAGTTGAGCATCTTTTTTTTTTTTTAGTATTTATTTTGAGTTGTGCACTTGAGTTTCTCTTTCATGTTTGCGTGTGCATTTTCTAGAATGGCTTCAGTCATCCATCTTCTCTGGAGGCCTGCAGACCAGCCAGATCCACTACAGCTACAACGAGGAGAAAGACGAGGACCACTGCAGCTCCCCAGGGGGCACACCTGCCAGCAAATCTCGACTCTGCTCCCACAGACGGGCCCTGGGGGACCATTCCCAGGCATTTCTGCAAGCCATTGCAGACAACAACATTCAGGATCACAACGTGAAGGTGAGCTAGGCCTGCCCCCACTGCCACCTCAGTGCTCTGTTTATCTGAGGACTTTGACATAGGAATACTTATGTGCTCTTTGGTTAACACAGCACAGACTTTGTTTCATGTATTATTTGGAGGGTTTTGAGGTGAGAACCTGATTGTGTTAACATGCTAGCGAGGCTTCAGAAGCATTAGTGATTGCAAGTGTGTCAGAAGCTGTGGCATGTTTAAGATTTGTGAAGACTCACTGGGTTTCCCTGAAGTTACTTCCAGCTGTTCCTGTTGCAGGACTTTTTGTGTCAAATAGAAAGGTACTGTAGGCAGTGCCATTTGACCACACCGATCATGTTTCCCCCCGAGCATCCCGTGGAAGAGGTCGGTCGCTTGCTGTTATGTTGCCTCTTAAAACATGAAGATTTAGGTAAGGAGCTCAATATCTTTGTACTTTAGCTACACTGCGATTCCTCGACTAACCTGTGGTACGTATTCATTCCTTCACTGCCCTTCTTTTAAATGTCTTTTTACAGGTCATGTGGCATTATCTTTAGTTCATGCAGGTGCACTTGGTATTGAGCAAGTAAAGCACAGAACGTTGCCTAAGTCAGTGGTGGATGTTTGTAGAGTTGTCTACCAAGCAAAATGTTCGCTCATTAAGGTGATAGATTTTAATTCTTTTTATTCTGTGCTTTGCAGACAGTTGCTGAAATATTTGTTGTTAAAGTTGTCTTTTCCTGGTTAACTTTGCAGACTCATCAAGAACAGGGCCGTTCTTACAAGGAGGTCTGCGCTCCTGTCATCGAACGTTTGAGATTCCTCTTTAATGAATTGAGACCTGCTGTTTGTAATGACCTCTCTATAATGTCTAAGTTTAAATTGTTAAGTTCTTTGCCCCATTGGAGGAGGATAGCTCAGAAGATAATTCGAGAACCAAGGAAAAAGAGAGGTAAGAATGTAAAAGGACAGAAGATACTATTAAAGCTTGTGCTTCACCCTGCCACGTTGGATCTGTGATTTCAGAGTGAAGTTTCTCTACTGTTGATTCCATGTAACATTTCTACCTGCTGCCATCATTTTTATTATAGTTAGGATTAAATACAGACATCTCGCTTATTTTTCCAAATGATCAGACAATGAGGCAGTTTAGGAATTGAGTGTGGTATGATTTGATTACTAGTAAATTGATGTTGAAAACGTAAATAATCTTTGCTAAATTGATGGGAACAAGGAAGTACTTTTATTAGTTATCCTGGTAATGAGATATAATGGGAACATTTAAACTTATTGCCATTCTTCTAAAGAAATGTTTTTTGTTTGGAAATATTGAGTATTCTGATACATGAAGAACTATAAAGGGAAGCTAAAAGAGTTACTGACATTTTCCTGGAAGTAGCTGTGTAAGGGTACAGAAAAGTCTTTTTGCATTAAATCCAAATTTGAATAAAAATGCTTAGAAATTATAAAATAGTTTAGAATTTAGTCACTTGTGATTATAAATAAACTACAGAAATTTCTGATTATATCCTTTTTTTTTTTTCTTTGAGATGGAGTCTTGGTCTGTTGCCAGGCTGGAGTGCAGTGGTGCGATCTCAGCTCACTGCAACCTCCGCCTCCCAGGTTCAAACGATTCCCCTGCCTCAGCCTTCCAAGTAGCTGGGATTACAGGCACGCGCCACCACTCCTGGCTAATTTTTATATTTTAGTAGAGACGGAGTTTCACCATGTTGGCCAAGATGGTCTTGATCTCCTGACCTCGTGATCTGCCTGCCTCGGCCTCCCAAAGTGCTGGGATTACGGGCGTGAGCCACCGCGCCTGGCCTCTGATCATATTATGACTTATACTGATTTACTCACAAACCTGCTTATTGAACAGTATTGATTACTGACTTTCTGATGGGCATTTTGAACAATAAGCTTATGAAAGACTAAAGTGTGTTAGAAGCCATCCTAATTTGATTGTTCCTGAACAAACCCTACACCATAACAGCCTGTCTGAATGCGAGGGGTGCTCTGGATCAGGAAGTCACAGCAGTCACACTGCTGCGATTCCTTTAACCCAGGCATGCAGGAACTCAGCCTGGGCCCAGGAGACAGGCTGCCTCGGAATGAGGGAGAGAGACTCCACATTTGCCATCTCATATCCGTGGGTTCTGAGCCCACACTGTCACTTTTAGAGTTTCTTGTGGGTTTATAGATTTATCGTGTGGTGTTTCAAGCTGGTTTTCTTTTTTTTTTGGAAATTAAGTAACTTGAAAAGATTAAGTGATTAATATTCCTGTTGCTGTGTCAGGGATCCCCGAGCCTTCTCTCAGGCTTGATGATTCACTAAAAGGACTCAGAAGAGCTGTTATAGTCACAGCTGTGTTTTTACTGCAAAAAGGATACAGATTAAAATTAGCAGAGGGAAGGGTGCATGGAGGGAAGTCCAGAGGAAACTAGGCACACGCTTTGGTGTCTCTCCCCAGTGGCATCACGTGGATGTGCTTAGCTCTCCCAGCAATAGTGTCACATCATGTGTGAAGAATTGTTAACCAGGCCAGCGCACCTGAGCCTCGAGTCTAGAGATTTTGTTGGGGGCCAGTCACATACGCAGGCAGTGCCCCTGTGACTGACCTCACTCAGGCTCCAGTGCCCCAGTGCAAAAACAAGTGGTCCCTCGCAAGTCCCATCATTAGCATAAACTACCTGGCCAGACCACTGCCACAAGGTCCTGGGTGTCAGGTATACCAAAAAACTTCTCAGGCAGGATGTTCCAAGGGCTCAGAGCTCAGCTCCTAGAAGAAGGACCAATCCTGAAGGGACAGACCTTCCTTGGGAATTTGCAGGGTTTGAGCAACCCCGGCCTGCTATGTTAGCTCTTTACTGCCCAGATGTATTATCATGTTGCTTATTTTTTATATTATATGCTGAGGAGACTTAGACCAAAAATTTTAAAAGAGATAAAGTATAGGGAGGAGATTCCACATATCACAGTGAATTCAGTTGATTCAGTTACACAGTAACAGAACCACTGAACTGGACCAGGGTGGACAAGCCAGGAACTATGGGCCAAATTCTACCTCTTGCTGGCTTTGGGTTGCCCATGGACTAAGACCTTTTTTTTTTTTTCCAGTTTGAAATTGTTATTTAAAAATTAAAAGAAGTATATTATTTTGGCACATGAAAATTACATGAAGCTAAAATTGTAGCACCATAAATAAAGTTTTACAGGAGCACAGCCACACCTGTTGCTTTATCTGTGGTTACTTTTTGTGCTACAGCAGCAGAGTTGAGTATTTGCGACAGACAGCATGGCCTGAAAGACTCAAATGTTCACTCTCTGGCACTTGAGGAAGAGCTTGCTGGCTGCCGGGCTTCCCCTGCTTCGGGGCTTCTCCCCTCGTCGCACTCTCACTTTGTCTTTTTGTTCTGCCAGGGTGATCATTTCACTCTTGTTGTTGAGCATTGCAATTTATAATGTTGTTCAGATGTTTATTTGAATGAAATATTTGTCCTTCATGTAAATCTAAATATGTCTTAATTTAAAATTAATATTTAAGTGTATGATTTTTATAGTGAATGATGTTTTAAAACACAGTTCCTAAGAAGCCAGAATCTACGGATGATGAAGAAAAAATTGGAAACGAAGAGAGTGATTTAGAAGAAGCTTGCATTTTGCCTCATAGTCCAATAAATGTGGACAAGAGACCCATTGCAATTAAATCACCCAAGGTGCGGTATTTTCTGTGATTCTGAGGTTGGCTGAATAGAATCGTAGCATGTAGCACAGGAATCCACAGTCTTGTACCTCTGTACCTGAGCATCTGGAGGGAGGGACGGGCGGTTGTTAGAAATACGGCCCCAGTGATGCTTCATGAACTTGACTTATGATGTCCTGGTCAGAGCTGTAGCTGGAGAAGGGTTTCCTTTTATTTTTGGTATTAGATTGTATCATTAATTATTCACCATTCATTCCTTAAATATATTCTTTGTTCCAGAAACAGTGCTGGGCCCTGTGGCTGTTAATATGAACCATAACTTAACTTAGTATGCCAAGCTAGCCTGTTCCAACATATAGTATAGAGATTATAAATTCACTTATATTTATAGCATAGTTTTAAAAACATGTATTACTAAATTTAACGTATTTTAACCAATTTAAACCCATAAGCATTATTTATATTTTACTTGAATAACTTTTAGAGCACAGTTTATTATTAAATAGGGTAGACTAATGATGAAAATTGTTTTCCTTTGTTAGGACAAATGGCAGCCGCTGTTGAGTACTGTTACAGGTGTTCACAAATACAAGTGGTTGAAGCAGAATGTGCAGGGTCTTTATCCGCAGTCTCCACTCCTCAGTACAATTGCTGAATTTGCCCTTAAAGAAGAGCCAGTGGATGTGGAAAAGAGAAAGTGCCTACTAAAACAGGTAACATTTGATGAGAAATGCTTCTCTGCATTGGGTAATATACATAACACTTAACTGTATGCATTGATATTTTGCAGTTGGAGAGAGCAGAGGTTCGCCTGGAAGGGATAGATACAATTTTAAAATTGTATCTGGTGAGCAAGAATTTCTTACTTCCATCTGTGCCGTATGCGATGTTTTGTGGATGGCAAAGACTTATTCCTGAGGGAATCGATATAGGGTAAAATGTTAGCATATTTTTTTCTTAATTAAGGAAGCTGTGGCAACAGAATGTTTTTCTGTAACAGTTAGAAGTCTGGCAGTGTCCCGAGTCAAATTCTTTATCTTTATTTGAAAGGGAACCTCTTACTGATTGTTTAAAGGATGTTGATTTGATCCCGCCTTTTAATCGGATGCTGCTGGAAGTCACCTTTGGCAAGCTGTACGCTTGGGCTGTTCAGAACATTCGAAATGTTTTGGTGGATGCCAGTGCCAAATTTAAAGAGCTTGGTGAGTCAATAATTGTATCAATGTTATTTTATAGTTTGCCTTTAATTATATGTTGTGGAAACTTGCAAATGCCAATTTTTGCTTTTGAGAAGACTTTAATAAGTTTGTACTTTGTACTTGTATAGTCTATGCTGCTGTCAGCTTTCTCAGATTTTAAACAAAACTTTAAAATTTAGCAGGAGACACAATGTTGAAGTACTCTAGTATAACATTTTTACATTTTGACATTTTTATGTGTATCACCACATATCCTAAAGTGTCTGTGTCCTATATTGATATTTATTTCCTGGATAGTTTGAGCATCTACAGAGAGTTGATTGGATTGGTTTTGTGGAGGAAAAGTGAGACATAACTTTTATATTTGAAATGGAAGGAATGGAATAGGGCACCGGTGTATTCAGAGAGCAACATACTAAGTCCTGTAGACAGATGGAACGACCTGTGCATAGAATGCAGGGGGTAGGCCCATCGTGCAGCATGACAGAGCTGCCCACTCTGTGGAAACCACTGAAAAATAGTCAGATGTTTAGAGTAATCGCCCGTGCCTTCTGCATTACGTTTATGCTTGTATCCATGCGAGAGAAATGTCAGTGGGTGTCAAAATAGTCAGATGATTAGAGTAATTGCCCATGCTTTCTGCGTTACGTTTATTCTTGTATCCACGCACAAGAAATGTCAGTGGGTGTCAGTGCTTATTAGTCAGATGTTTAGAGTAATTGCCCGTGCTTTCTGCATTACATTTATTCTTGTATCCATTACAAGAAATGTCAGTGGGTGCCAATGCTCACTAGGTATCCAGCCGGTTCCCCTGCAAACCATCACCAATGAGAACCCATCGGGACCGAGCTTGGGGACCATCCCGCAAGCCCACTTCCTCCTGGTGATGCTCAGCATGCTCACCCTGCAGCACAGCGCAAACAACCTTGACCTCCTGCTCAATTCCGGCACGCTGGCCCTCGCTCAGACGGCACTGCGCCTGATTGGTAGGTCTGCACTGGCTTGAGAGCCTTTGGGAAAACGTCAAGATTTTGCTTTGATTTATTTTCTTTCTTTTTTTTAAAAAAAGCTTTTTGTAAATTATGGTAAGACACAAATAGCAGAAAGTGTAGCATTTTAACGTCGCAATTCAGCGGTATTAAATACATTCACAATTTTCTAGAGTCATCACCACTGTCTAGTTGTAGAACTTTTTCATCACTATAAATGCACCCCATTTAGCCATCAGTCCTGACTCCCCTGCTCTCCAGCCCCTGGTAGTTACAAATCTGCTTTCTCTGTCTATGGATTTGCATATCCCGGATATTTCATATAAATGGAATCATACCATTTGTGGCCTTTGTGTCTGGGTTATTTCATTTGGTATATATCAGTACTTTATTTTTATGGCTGAAAAAGATTTCATTGTATGAATATATAACATTTTGTTTACTCATTTATCTGTTGATGGACATTTGGGTTGGTTTTGCCTTTTGACTTTTGTGAATAGTGCTGCTAGGAACATTTATATACAAGTACTTGTTTGAACACTTGTTTCTAGTTCTTTTGATTATACACCTAGGACTGGAATTACAGGGTCATATGGTACAACTATGTGTAACTTACTGAGAAACTACCAAAGTTTTCCACAGTGCCATATCATTTTTACATTCCCATCACCAGTGGGCAGGATTCCAGGGTTCCAGTTTCTCTGCTTCCCTGCCAACACTATTTTTTGTGGTTTTCTTTTTTTTTTTGGATTAAGGCCATCCTAGCGGGTGTGAAGTGGTATCTCATTGTGATTTTGGTTTGCATTTCACTAATGATGAATGACATTGAGCTTCTTTACATGTTTGTGCTTGTTGGCCATTTGTATATCTTCTTTGGAGAAGTGTCTATTCAAGTCCCTTTCTCTTTATTTTTTATTTTATTTTTTTGAGACGGAGTCTCACTCTGTCGCCCAAGCTGGAGCGCAGTGGCACGATCTCGGCTCACTGCAACCTCCGCCTCCCGGGTTCAAGCACTTCTTGTGCCTCAGCCTCCCAAGTAGCTGGGATTACAGTCACACACCACCACACCTGGCTAACTTTTGTATTTTTAGTAGAGATGGGATTTCGCCATGTTGGCCAGGCTGGTCTGGAACTCCTGACCTCAGGTGATCTGCCTGCCTTGGCCTCCCAGAGTGCTGGGATAACAGGCGTGAGCCACTGCGCCCAGCCCCTTTCTCCTTTTTAAATAGGGTTATTTGTCGTCATCTTGTTGTACCAATAAATGCACTATATAAGTGTATCAAACCTTTAAAGAAGAATTAACACCAGTCCTCAGACTCTTTAAAAAGTTCGTGTATACTAGACCTTCACAGATCTGTAGACCTTTATCAGGTATATCATTTGAGGGTATTTTCTCCTGTTCTCTGGATTGTATTCCCTTAGATAGAGAAGTTTTTTATTTTGATGAAGTTCAATTTATCTGTTTCTCTTTTGTCGTCTATGCTTTTGATATCATATCCAAAAAGCCATTTCCAAACACAAGGTTGATGAAGATTATCCTCATGTTTTCTTCTGTAAGTTTTATAGTTTCAGCTCTTATATTTAGATCTTTGGTCCATTTTTAGGTAATTTCTTTTACACAGTGTGAGGTAAGAGTCCAGCCTTTTTCTTTTGTTGATCTGATTGTTTCAATACCACTTGTTGAGGACTGTTCTTTCCCTGAAGTTCTGGGTACCCTTGGCAAAAATCAGTTGGCTGTGGATATTTAGGTTTATTTCTGGACTCTCAATTACATTATCACATTCTATATGTTGATAATTGTGCAGGTACCGCCCTGTTTTGAACATTGTAGTTTTGTACTGTTTTAAAATTGAGAAGTGTGTTTTCTTTCTCAAGATGATTTTGGCTACTTTGGGTCCCTTGCATTTTCACATGAACTTCAAGGCTGGCTTTTCCATATCTGCAAAAAAAGACCATTGGGATTTTTGCTAGGGATTGAATCTGTAGATTGTTTTGGGGAATAGTGCCATTTTAACAATGTTAACATCCATTCTCTGAATGTGGAATGTCTTTCCATTTATTTCTGTCCTCTTTAATTTCTTTCAGCAATATTTTATTGTTTTACAGTTATCAGGGTAATAATGGCCTCATAGAATGAACTAGGTAGTGTTCCCATATATTCTGTTTTTAGAAGAGTTTGAGGATTGGTGTCAGTTCAGCTTTAAATGTTTGGTAGAGTTGACCACCTAAGCTTTTCTTTGTTGAAAGATTTTTTTTTTTTTTTCTTTGAGACGGAGTCTCACACTGTTGCCCGGGCTGGACTGCAGTGGCGTGATCTCGGCCCACTGCAAGCTCCGCCTCCCGGGTTCACGCCATTCTCCTTCCTTAGCCTCCTGAGTAGCTGGGATTATAGTCGCCAGCCACCACGCCCGGCTAATTTTTTGTATTTTTAGTAGAGACGGGGTTTCACTGTGTTAGCCAGGATGCTCTCGATTTCCTGACCTCGTGATCCACCCGCCTCGGCCTCCCAAAGTGCTGGGATTACAGGCGTGAGCCACGGCGCCTGGCCTGAAAGATTTTTAATTACCGATTCAATCTCTTTACTTGTTATGGCTCTATTCAGATTTTCTATTTCTTCTTGAGTCAGTTTGGGTAATTTATGTTTCTAGGAATGTGTCCATTTTATCTAGGCTATTTTATTTGTTGGCATACAGTTGTTCACAGTGTTCTTTTATAATCTTTTTTATTTTTATGTTGGTAGTACTGTCTCCACTTACATTTCTGATGTTAGTTATTTGCATCTTTTCTCTTTTTTTTCTTTTTTTTTTTTTTTTTTTTTTTTGAGATGGAGTCTCACTCTGTTGCCAGGCCAGAGTGCAGTGACACAGTCTTGGCTCACTGCAACCTCCGCCTCCCGGATTCAAGTGATTCTCCTGCCTCAGCCTCCCAAGTAAGCTGGGACTACAGGCGCCTGCCGCCAGGCCTGGCTAATTTTTTTTGTATTTTTAGTGGAGATGGGGTTTCACCATGTTGACCAGGATGATCTAAATCTCTTGACCTTGTGATCCGCCCACCTCAGCTTCCCAAAGTGCTGGGATTAGAGGCGTGAGCCACCTTGACTGACCTCTTTTTTTCTTAATTTACCAAAAGTTTGTCAGATTTTTTGTTCTTGCCAGAAACCGAACTTTTGGTTTTGTAGATTATTTTTCTATTCTCTATTTAATTTATGGCTGCTCTAATCTCTATCGTTTCCTTCTTTCTGCTTTGTATTTTTTTGTTTTTGTTTTTGTCTTTGTTTTGAGACAGGGTCTTACTTTGTCCCTCAGGCCCAAGTACAGTGGCGCACTCATGGCTCACTGCAGCCTCAACCTCCTGGGCTCAAGTTATCTACCTGCCTCAGCCTCCCAAAGTGCTGGGATTACAGGTGTGAGGCACGACACCTGGCCTAACTTTGGTTTTTATTGTGTTCTTATTTTTTTAGTTCTTCCAGATGTAGAGTTATTGATTTGAGATCATCTTTTGTAAATGCAGACTTTTATAGTATAATTGCCCCTTTTAGCCCTGCTTTTGGCCCAGCACAGAAGTTTTGGTGTGTTGTGTTTTCATTCATCTCATAGTATTTTCTAATTTCCCTTGTGATTTCTTCTTTGACCCACTGATTGTTTACCATGTGTTGTTTAATTTTCATATACTTGTGAATTTTCCACTTTTCCTTTTGTTATTAATTTCTCATCATTTCCTTTTGGTTGGAGAAGGTAACTTGTATGATTTTCGTCTGTTTAAATTTGAGACTTTGTGGCCTAACATATGGTTTGGTCAGTCTAAGAGAGTAGTCCTGTGGTATACTTGAGAAGAACGTGTATTCTGCTCTTTTTGGTGAAATGTTCTGTATATGTCTATTAGGTCTGATTGGTTTATGGTGGTGTTCTTTGGCTAAAACTGAGATGCTGCAGGGCCAGTTGTCAAAGTCACAGTGAAAAAGCAAGGTTTTCCCAAGCTCTTATAATCACATCAGTTTTAGAGTTCACATTAATCCATTCAAAAATATGTATCAGGCCAGGCTGTAATTGTAGCACTTTGGGAGGCTCAGGCGGGTGGATTGCTTGAGCTCAGGAGTTTGAGACCAACTTGGGCAACATAGCGAAACCCTCTCTCTACAAAAAATACGAAAATTAGCTGGGCATAGTGGTGTGTGCCTGTGGTCCCAGCTACCTGGGAGGCTGAGGTGGGAGGATTGCTTGAGCCAGGGATGCAGAGGTTGCAGTGAGCGGAGATCAAGCCACTGCACTCCAGCCTGGGCTCCAGCCTTGGTGACAGAGTGAAATCCTGTCTTGGGGGTGGGTGGAATCTTTCTATCTATCTGTCTGTCTGTCTGTCTCTCTCTCTCTCTATATATATATATATATAATTATTTTTTAATTTATATATTATGTTTATATGTTGTATTATGTTAAATATATATTTTAATATGTGTATTACAGCTGAAAAGAATCATCTAGTAAGGGTTATATCTGATTTCCTGAGGCCTCATTAGCAACCAAAAGTTGCATTTAAAAATTACAAAAGCATATCTCCATCGAGAAATGGCCTTTTTATGTTGTCTACTTTTCCCCCAGAGGTTCCAATAAGTAAAAATCACAGCACAAATCATTAAGTATGGGGACTTGTTCTGTTGATAATATTCATGTGTTTAAATTTCATCTGGCCCACTGGCTGCAAAAAGCAAGGAAGTTGTGTCTCATGAATATCCGTCTATATTTGCAGCTTGCCCTGATCAGGGTATCCTTCTTATCATTTAAGAAATTATAAACATATAATATTTTATACCAGCTTAATGTATACATCCACATGTAACAGCCACAAAACATAAAGCTATGTAAAATAAAAAAAAATTCCCCCCGGTTTTGGTTGCAAATTTATTCAAGCCCTTAGCAATAAATTCAGTCTTTACAGAGTTAACAGTATAGCTGCCCAGGGGATCCTGGGAGATCCACCTGGAATGCAACTCCTGTCCCTTCCTTGGGGCCCCTTCCTGGGGGCCCTAAAGTAGCGGCTAGGCTAAAGGAAAGGCTGTTTCTCCTGCTAGTTTATCTAAAGTTTTGCTCCAGCCCTGGGAATTGAATATCCTTTTTTGTTCTCTTGGAAGAGAGAGAAACACAAACTTTTTACATTTTTTGGTCCACCCCAGCCCACCTTTGGGACTGTTTGGATCTTTTTCCCTCCCACCTGGAGGAGAAAACTAAAATCAAGGGAGTTACCAGAACCACACTCCTACCCCCTCTCAGTTTAGCAAGTGGGAAAAGGGGGGTTAAAAATCTAGCCTACTCTCCTAGGGTTAGCGCTCCTATTTTCAGATCCATTGGGAAGTTTTACTTCTCTCAGGTGACAGCAGCTCGGCTTCTGTTTTGTGCTATGGATGACTCTGTAGCCACCCAGGGCACCAATTGTCAGGGGTCTCCAAGACCACCCCCAGGTTTGATGGTTGGCCAGGAGGACTCACAAGACTCAGCATGTAGTTGTACTCAGGGCTATAGTTTATTACAGTGAAGGGACACAGAGCAAAATCATGAAAAAGGACATGGGTAAAGTCCAGAGGAAAGCAGGTACAAGCTTCCACAGGATCCACACAGGACGAGCTTAACTGCCCTGGCACCGAGCCGTGTCAAGTGCTGTCTGCCGGGAAGCTGGGTAGAGACTCCAGGCCCATGGTTTCCATCAGGACTGATCACACGGGCACCCCCTGCCTGGCGTGTACCAAGTTCCAGACTAAGGAAAGCAGGTTTCAGCACAGACCACATTGTTTGTACAGACAGTTCAGGCACAGGGAACCACACCTACCACCTAGGGAATGGGGGAGCCCTCCTGAGATCCAGACTCCAGCTGAGGGCCAGCCTGCAGCAACCCTGTCTGAGGTTGTATCTCGGGCCAGCTGTTAGCTGTCTTCTGCACAGAACCATGATTAAAGTTTGTTAGTTTCCCACTGTTAGATATTTAGGTAGTTATCTTTGTTTTTCTATTAATAAAAAATGTGATGAGGATCTTTCTAACTCAGTTATTTTGCTTTTTTCAGGGGAGTAATTCCTAGAAGTAGAGAAAGTAGCTTTACTGAGCATTTTAATATCTTTTATATCTTCCTAGGATATTTATGTATTTCATCCTTCCGTTTATCTTCTTTTTATCCTATATCAGTAAAATATTCATAATATTATATTGATAAAACATATAGTATGGATTGTTCAAAATTACGATCTTCATTAGTACTTTGTGAATGTTTTGTGTGTATTAAGGGGACACTGTAGCTACTTGTTGGCTCAGCTATTGTTTTTGATGCTCCGTCAGGCCCCAGTTGTGACAGCGTTGAGGAAGATATGAATGCTTCTGCTCAAGGTGCTTCTGCCACAGTTTTGGAAGAAACAAGGAAGGAAACGGCTCCTGTGCAGCTCCCTGTTTCAGGGCCAGAACTGGCTGCCATGATGAAGATTGGAACAAGGGTCATGAGAGGTGTGGACTGGAAATGGGGCGATCAGGTACTCAGAGATTTGATGTGAACACATTAGCCACACATTAGTTATCTTCTGCATAGTTCTGTACGATATTGGTGGGTGGAAATTGGAATAATCCAGGATGTGTCAGTTGATCGATGACACAGGTGTTGGTTCCCGAGCAGCTGAAGGGAGTGAACACAAACAGGGAATCATAAGTAGGGCATCTGAGCAGAATCAAGTCTGGAAAGAGAGGCAGCTCTTTTCAGGAAACTCACTGGCATGAGGCTCAGTTTGATGGGTCACTGGAACAAGAGTGTGAGAGTGAGCAAGAGAGTAAATCTCATTCTGAAAGTTGGTGTAGTGAAGGCTCTGAGGCAGGAAGCCCAGATGCTGCCCCTGTGGGCTGATGGCCATGTGCTGCGAAGTGCCCTGAAGCCAGTAGTTAGGGATCTACTTCATGGGCCTGTGGCCACGTTTCCATCTTCCCTCATCGCAGATCTCTTCTAAATCTCTGCCAGGTGCCCCCAGGTGGAAGTCACTTACCACAGCCCTAGCTAAGTTAGGGCAGTGTTCACCTTCCCATGGTCTGTCTGGCTTTTCTCAGCCACGCTGGTAAGCCCTGGCTTTGTCACAGTCATCTTAGAAATAGCAGTGTCTGGAGACAGCATCCATCCTAGAAACAGCTTTCTCCTGCAGAAGTGAGAGACAGAGCTTCCCCCTGGGGCCCAGGGGAAACTGAAGCAAAGGGAATGTGGAGGTGCTGGTGCTTGTTTCAGGTTTCCGCTCTTGCAAGGCCCGTGAGGGATTGTGGGGACAGGACTTGCTGCAAAGCCCTGTCTCTGCATTGACTCAGAGGATCCTCATTGAGATGAGATTTCCCCGACTTCCTTGGTAAAGCAGCATGAGCACGTTATTTTATGCCATTTAATTTAAAATGATGCAAGCACACATTTTGTAGGAGAGGTGAAATCTGTGTCTGGGGACAGCCCCTGACAGACAGGGTGGCATATGGCGACATCTGTGTGGCAGGTCTGGTGGGAGCCATGGAAGGACCAGGGCAGGGCACGCACCCTCCTAACTGAGGTCTGGTGGGAGCCATGGAAGGACCAGGGCAGGGCACGCACCCTCCTAACTGAGGTCTGGTGGGAGCCATGGAAGGACCAGGTCAGGGCAGGCACCCTCCTAACTGAGGTCTGCTGGGAGCCATGGAAGGACCAGGGCAGGGCACGCACCCTCCTAACTGAGGTCTGGTGGGAGCTATGGAAGGACCAGGGCAGGGCACACACCCTCCTAACTGAGGTCTGCTGGGAGCCATGGAAGGACCAGGGCAGGGCACGCACCCTCCTAACTGAGGTCTGCTGGGAGCCATGGAAGGACCAGGGCAGGGCACACACCCTCCTAACTGAGGTCTGCTGGGAGCCATGGAAGGACCAGGGCAGGTTACGCACCCTCCTAACTGATCTCTACTTTGGCTTTCTCAGGATAGGCCTCCTCCAGGCCTAGGCCGAGTGATTGGTGAGCTGGGAGAGGACGGGTGGATAAGAGTCCAGTGGGACACAGGCAGCACCAACTCCTACAGGATGGGGAAAGAAGGAAATTACGACCTCAAGCTGGCAGAGCTGCCAGCCCCTGCACAGCCCTCAGCAGAGGATTCGGACACAGAGGACGACTCTGGTGGGTGACTCAGGAAGGTGTTTAGTCCAAGGCAGCCTACAAACTGTCCAGTTGCTGGGTGCTGCCACTGCCATCTGGGCCTTAGAATGGGATGTCAGGACACACCTGCAGCTGGCGCTCTGTCCTCGGAACCTGTAATTTAAATAAGCTCCCAGGCACCTCCGATGCAGGTGTGTGGAGTGACTGTGGGATCCGGCGATCTGGCTGGAACTGACTTTCTGCATTTTCCTCTCATGTGTGCACCCGCCCCTCTTTGAGAATGTGGTGGCCAGGTGGGGGCAGCTGCATCACCAGTGAGTCTCATGTGGTTGGTGCTGAGCCTGCATCTGAGCGAGTGAGCCGAGGCCTGGTGGAATTGCCCTGCGGTCTCGGTCCATCGCGTCCTCCTCCAGTGAGAGCCCCTGCCCAAGCACACCCCACCTGCCACCTGCCTTTACCTTTCCTCTGTGGTCCCTGACTCTGAACTCTTCATGTAATGTGGAGTTAGTCAGCACTTTATCGCTTCTAGGGAAGCAGAGGTGAGAATTTAGGGGTGGACCAAGAAAGCTAGATCCTATCTGTGGAGATCCAGGTTGTGGGAGGAGGTTTCGTGACATTTCTTAGCTGTTCCTAAAACACGTGAAGCTTCACATGGTTGGGCTTGGTAAGACCATCCAAGAGGCTGGGGCTGCCAATATAATTTGTAATTTTGATTATTTTTTTTAGAAGCCGAACAAACTGAAAGGAACATTCACCCCACTGCAATGATGTTTACCAGCACTATTAACTTACTGCAGACTCTTTGTCTGTCTGCTGGAGTTCATGCTGAGATCATGCAGAGTGAAGCCACCAAGACTTTATGCGGACTGCTGCAAATGTTAGTGGAAAGCGGAATGACGGACAAGACATGTATGGAATGAGAGATCGAGGGCCCAGGGAGTCAGCGCTGGGGGCCGCACGCTTGTCGTGTCTGGGTGTGCATGTGGGTGGGTGTGGATGTGTGTGGATTCCTTTCCTGTGGCTGCTGTAACAAAGTATACAAACTTGGGGACTTACACAGTAGAAATTCTCACGGTTCTGGTGGCTGGAAGGCTGAGATCAAGGGTAGTTCCTTCTGGGGCTGTGAGGGAGAAGCTGCTTCAGGGCTCTGCCCCAGCTTCTGGAGTTTACTGGTCTCTTTAGCGTTCCTCGGCTTGTAGAGGTGTCACCCCTATCTCTGCCGTCATCTTCACATGGCATTCTCCCTGTGTGTGAGTCGCCTCCAAATCTCCCCTTTTCATGAGGACATCATTCAACCTCATCAAACTGATTACATCTGCAGCGACCCTATTTCCAAACAAGGTCACCTGCCGAGGTACGGTAGGGGTTAGGGCTTCAACATACGAATTTTGCAATTCTGAATTCAACCCGTAACACTGGCTTCAAACAACAAATTTGTTCTCTCAGAGTTCTGGAGACCAGAAGTCCCAAATCCAGGTGCGGGCAGGGCCATGCTTCTTCCACAGGCTCTAGGGGAAGGTCCTTCCTTACTTTGTCCAGCTTCTGGGAGCTCCAGGCTTCCTTGGTGTTGGGACGCATTGTGCCAGTCTCTGCCTGCGTCTTCACATGGCCCCTGCCCCTGTGTTCTGCATGTCCTTTTCTGTCTCTGAAAGGACTCTTTCATTGAGTTTCTTTGACTCTAATCCAACATGATGTCACCTAAATTCTTACCTTAATGACGTCTACAGAGACCTCATTAAATAAGATCATATTCTGAGGTTCCGAATGTATGTGAAGTTGGAGGACAGGCACAGTTTAATCCATAAAGTGTTTGTGTGTGTGGAGAGTAAGTATGAGAAATGTGAGCTGAGGGAGTGGGGTGAGTGTGCATGTGACTGAGAGTGAGCACATGTGAGTGTGGGTGGGTATGTGGGCGTCCTCCAGTGTGTGTGAGAGCATGCGTGTATTAGTGGTGTGCTGGAGCGTCCGCACATATTGATGAGAGTGAGTGTGTTAGCGGTCGATGGGCAAGTGGCTGAGCGTTTGTGTTGCAAGTGTGATGGTGTGTTTGTAGCATGTGGTTGTGTGGGTGTGTGTATGTCCATGAGAGCATGTGAGTGGGCAGGTGACTACATTCAGGTGAAGTGGGAGTGAAAGCGTCGGTGCATTGAGCCAATGTGTGTGTGTGAGGGTGAGCACGAGGGAGGCATGAGTGTGAGTGTGAGGGGATTACTGGGTGTGCAAATGAGACACCCAGTGTAAGTGTAAGTCAGTGAGGGTTGGTGAGTGTGAGGAAGTATGAGTGGGTGGCAGGCACAAGTGTAAGTGTGCGATTGAGTGTGAGCATTTGTGTAAATGTATGAGTGCCTTGTGTCAGTGTGAGCACGAGTGATGTTATTGTGAATGCGTGTGAGTGAATGTGAGCATTTTGCTTGTGTCAGTGAATGGGAGGTTATAACAGTATAGGTGTGAGTGTAAAGTGAGAAAGTGTGTGGGTAAAGGTGTGAGTGGGTGAGTAATCGGTCATTACTAGTGTTGAGGAGTGTGAGTGCATATGTGAGTTTTTGTATGCATTGGGAGGGGTAAGTGTATGTGAGAGTGCATGGGAGTGTGTGTCAGCTTGCATCTGTTTGTGCATACGTGTGACTGGGATTGTGTGTGTGTGATTGCGACAGTGGTGTGAGTGCACCTGAAAGTGTGAGGGTGGGTGTATGAGTGCCCATGAGTGTGTCTGAATAACTTAGTATCAGTGTGAGTGTGAGGATGCATATGAGGGTGTGAGAGTGAGTGTGTGTGTGTGTGAGCGCATGTGAGTGTGCTGAAGGAAGGCAGTTGTCCTCATAAGCTTGGATAGCTGAGGGCAGGGTGGGGGAGGTGGGAGGGAGAGCAGGTCCTGTGGGGCTGTGGGCGGGGTCCCTCAGGGGGCCCAGCCTCCAAGCCTCAGCTTCCATTCAGGGAGTAGTGGAGTCCTGGAGCCAGGCGGAGCAGAGGTGGGCCCACTGGTGCCAGAATCCAGTGGTGTAAACCTAGTGAAAAACTCATTTTGTTAATGCAGATGCATTAAACTTGGATTGGAAACTGTCTCTACTAAAATTACAAAAAGAGTATTTAAGTGGTGCAGATTAAATATAACCAAGATTGTGGAGATATTTAAAACACGAAATTAAAAATATAATAGATGCACTGTTGCAAATTACTATTTGAATTATAGATCATTTTCCTATTGCCTAGAAACAATACATAGCTAAAATTCCCTAACTACTTTTACGACACATATTTAGAAGGTTTTAAAAATGTCTGTAGTCCCAGCTATTCGGCAGGGCAAGGCAGGAGAATCACTTGAGCCCAGGAGTTTTAGACCAGCCTGGGCAACATAGTGAGGGCCCATCTCTAAAAAAAACAAAAAAAAAGAAAACTTCGGAAATGTTTCTTGAACTAACTTAAAAGCCGCCTTCCACTTCTCACTTTGAATTAGTTTGAATTAATTTACAAACTGCAATATATTTTAAAGGAGCTTATTGTAGAAAATAAGTTGATAAAAAAATAAGGATATATCTTTAGGGATTTGTCTTTAGGGACTTGTTACCAAGCATGTCTATTTTCCCTCCCGCCGCTTCTCCAAACAGGCTGGTGTACAGGGAGCAACACCGGAGCTGGTGCACGCTGGGGTTTGTGCAGAGCATCGCTCTCACGCTGCAGGTGTGCGGCACCCTCAGCTCCCTGCAGTGGATCACGCTGCTCATGAAGGTCGTGGAAGGGCACGCACCCTTCACTGCCACCTCGCTGCAGAGGCAGGTAATGTGCTGCCAGGCAAAACCAGTTCCCTGAGAGAGGCCTCCATGTACTGAAGTTCCCTGCCCTCAGAGTCAGGGGCCTTTATTCCGTAACGAGTGCAGAAAGGGTCTAGAAGTGACAGGGTAGATTTTCTGGAGGCAAGGGGCAGAGGTCCTTGATAATTGGTAAGTTGCTAACCTTCAGTTTACCTGCTTTTCTCTTAAGTGGTAAATCCTGCAACTACTTACTCATCTGCTTCACAGAATTTGTAGTGTAATTGTCTTAAGAATTAAACTAAAAATAATTCTTTTTTAATTAAACACATGCATCTGTAATGTTGCTT
Organism: Homo sapiens; assembly: GCF_000001405.40. Taxonomy (NCBI): domain Eukaryota; kingdom Metazoa; phylum Chordata; class Mammalia; order Primates; family Hominidae; genus Homo; species Homo sapiens. Next base: position 20,440,151 of record NC_000015.10, on the reverse strand, counting down.
TTTTCTAAAGTCCCTGACAATCCTAATCACTAATCAACTTGAGTGTAATTACCTGGCTGTAAAATAATGAATCTCAAAATTTTCACATGATTACTTGCATTATGAGAACAGAAAATAAAGAGAGGCTGGGCGCAGTGGCTCATGCCTGTAATCCCAGCACTTTGGGAGGCAGAGGCAGGTGTATCATGAGGTCAGGAGTTTGAGACCAGCCTGGCCAACATAGTGAAATCCTGTCTCTACTGAAAATCCAAAAAAAATGAGCCGGGCTTGGTGGTGAGTGCCTATAATCCCAGCTACTCAGGAAGCTGAAGCAAGGAGAATCGCTTGAACCTGGGAGGTGGTGGTTGTAGTGAGCCAAGACCGTGCCACTGCACTCCAGCCTGGGCGACAGTGCGAGACTCTGTCTCAAAAAAAAAAAAAAAAAAGAAAATAACAATCTGTAGTTTCCTCATCAGATTTTTTTTAATGCTTGTCATTTTAAATTTTCTTTTATCAGATCTTAGCTGTGCATTTGTTGCAAGCAGTCCTTCCGTCATGGGACAAGACCGAAAGGGCGAGGGACATGAAATGCCTCATGGAGAAGCTGTTTGACTTCTTGGGGAGCTTGCTCACTATGTGCTCCTCTGACGTGCCGTTACTCAGAGGTGGGTGGCCGTCTCCCTTCCCTGTACCCTGGTGAAGAGCGGTGCAGTGCCGTCACTCAGAGGTGGGTGGCCGTCTCCCTTCCCTGTGTCCTGGTGAAGAGCCGTGTAGTGCCATCACTCAGAGGTGGGTGGCCGTCTCCCTTCCCTGTACCCTGGTGAAGAGCGGTGCAGTGCCGTCACTCAGAGGTGGGTGGCCGTCTCCCTTCCCTGTGTCCTGGTGAAGAGCCGTGTAGTGCCATCACTCAGAGGTGGGTGGCCATCTCCCTTCCCTGTGTCCTGGTGAAGAGCGGCGCAGTGCCGTCACTCAGAGGTGAGTGGCCGTCTCCCTTCCCTGTGCCCTGGTGAAGAGTGGTGCAGCAGCTTCTCCCCTGGTTTCCTCCTCAGAGTCCACGCTGAGGCGGCGCAGGGTGTGCCCGCAGGCCTCGCTGACTGCCACCCACAGCAGCACACTGGCGGAGGAGGTGGTGGCACTGCTGCACACGCTGCACTCCCTGACTCAGTGGAATGGGCTCATCAACAAGTACATCAACTCCCAGCTCCGCTCCATCACCCACAGCTTTGCGGGAAGGCCTTCCAAAGGGGTGGGTTTGTGTTCTCAGAATTAATTTAGTTGAACAGTAAACCTGTAGGGATTGGGCAGCTCCGTGAGTGTCCCCGGTCGAGCTCGCTGTTTGGTCTGCACTAGGCCCAGTTAGAGGACTACTTCCCTGATTCCGAGAACCCTGAAGTGGGGGGCCTCATGGCGGTCCTGGCTGTGGTTGGAGGCATCGATGGTCGCCTGTGCCTGGGCGGCCAAGTTGTGCACGATGACTTTGGAGAAGTCACCATGACTCGCATCACCCTGAAGGGCAAAATCACCGTGCAGTTCTCTGACATGCGGACGTGTCACGTTTGCCCATTGAATCAGCTGAAACCAGTAGGTGAACTTGTGCTTAGTTACTGCATGATAAGGGAAATTGACTTTACACTAGAACCGAGCACCAACATCAGCACTTGAAAGAACTTGATTCTGGTACTTGAAGTTTGCCTTCCAGGAAGCTGTGTGAGCTTGTGCTTCTGTGGTAAGCAGGGCCTGTCTCACAGGGCACTTAAAGCAGTGGTTCGTGTGTATTTCAGCCTCAGAGACACGAAGAGGGCTTTAGCAACCTAGAAGGTACCGTGCATCTATGAGGTAGTTCTAATTATTTTAAAATGTGAATTTATGAAGTTTACTTTTTATTCAACAACTCAAGTTTTAAAAAAACAAACATGTTTAAACACCTTTAAAAAAACAGCCTTTCTTCATGTAGAAAATGCTTAGTAGTTTTGAGTGACGTGACTTAATGTAGCAGCTACTGTCATCTTAATCTGTGAATCAAGGATGCACAGGGAGAAGGAGCCATTTACATTATTTTCATGTAGCCCAAGTGCAATCTTACTATATATTCTTTTTCTTTTTTATTTTGAGATGGAGTCTTGCTCTTGTCACCCAGGCTGGAGTGCAATGGCACAATGTTGTCGGCCCTCTGCAACCTTTGCCTCCCGGGTTCAAGCGATTCTCCTGCCTCAGCCTCCTGAGTGGCTGGGATTACGGTGTGTGCCACCACGCCTGGCTAATTTTGTATTTTTAGTAGAGATGGGGTTTCACTATGTTGGCCGGGCTGGTCTCAAACTCCTGACCTCAGGTGATCCGCCCGCCTTGGCCTCCCAAAGTGCTGGGATTACAGGCGTGAGCCACCGTGCCCGGCCTGACTATATTTTCTATAAAGTACTCTTTTTTATTATTATAGGAATATATACATGTTGTAGAAAACTTGAAGTATATAGAAAATATCTGAGAAGATAGTAACCACCACACTGATGTAATTATTGTTGACAGGTTTGTAAAGAAAAATTAATATAGATTATACTTATTATATGTGTAAATCTCTATCCTGCCTTTAATGTCATTTTAAAAAATGATTATTCTCAGCTATAAAAAGGCTTACGGGTATGTGTGGCATTTCAGGATTAAGCCCATGGTTTTGATGACTTTCAGAACGTTTCATTTGTTAGTCATATTGGCCACACTCTGACAGCTTCTGTGTCCTCTCCAGCTCCCTGCCGTGGCCTTTAATGTGAACAACCTGCCCTTCACAGAGCCCATGCTGTCTGTCTGGGCTCAGTTGGTGAACCTCGCTGGAAGCAAGTTAGAAAAGCACAAAATAAAGAAATCGACTAAACAGGCCTTTGCAGGTCAGTACATGGCGCTTCTTGATGAAATAGCTGCCGTCTTAAACTCGTGTCGTTTGTACAGTGTTCTTTTATGAGTGAATTCACGGACGTACTAAAGTCCTGGGGTTCACGTGGGCTCACCATTTGTTGAGTTGCGGTTGGGAATGTAACCCTGTGTTCGTGGTAATGAGTATTTTCGAGTCAGCCTTTGTCGCCATGTTCGGAGCCACACTTGAAGAACCCCATGGCTCACACCCTCTTCTCCGTGTCACCCTTTATCCCGGAAGAGAAGTCTGTTCACCTCTTCCCTCCTCCCCTCCATCCCAGGGCCCTGTGGCCCCGTCACCCTGTTGGACCATGGCTCACAGCCTGTTCTCTGCCGGATCCAGGGGCCTCTGTCCCGGAAGCGCCTGGCTTGCCTGTGACATTCAGGATGGCTAAGACTGTGACTGTAGCCTGGCTTGGCTTTGCCTTCCTTCAGGTCTAGAATGCGGCTCTCCTGAGTTTGTTTCCATGTTTCTAGGGAGCTCTTCTCTCTGCTCATTCTTTATGTCCTGGAAGTCTGTGTGGTTTCACCCATAACTATGGCATATTCTGCCCAGTCTTCTTGAGTTTTCTCCCCTCTTGCTCCCACAGACCTACGATTGCTGCTTCAGCATATATGATGTAAGCACTTTCAACTCTGGATCTCCCATTCACATCTCTGGTTGGAGGTGCAGTGCATGCAAATCATCAGATGTCCGAAATTCAGCTGGCTGGCTTTCTCTAGTAGCTGCCGTTTCCCATCGTGGTGAATAAAACTGTCTGCCAGTTAGTTGAGCCAGTGTCCGAGCAGCACCTGCGGCCCTCCTTCCTTCCCACCCCATGCTCTCTGTGCTGCTTCTGCGGCCTCTGCTATCAGATAAGCCTTGGGCATTGCTGCGATCTTCATCAGTTAAAGAGCTAGTGGGGCTGACAGATTCTCTCAGAGGAGTCTTAGAAGAAGAGTGGAAGCGGCTGAAACTTCAGCAACTTGGGGAACATTTGATCATATTAATAGTAGCTAACATGGTTCTAACCGTGTTAAACCCATTGAATCCTGCGTCCTATCAAGTTAGGTGCCTGGAGAGCAGGGAAGGAAGACCCAGGAGGCAGAAGATGCTTACCCAGAAGCACCGAGTGTAACTCTGGGAAAGGCAAGCCCTTCGTCACGGACAGTGTGTGCGGTCGGCAGATTCCTGAAGGGCAGAGCGTTACTCGTCGCCATGTGGCGGAGGCTTGCTGCTGGCGAGGAGGGAGTCTGAGCAGGGCACGCCCTTCTCACTGAGTCTTTCCTTCCGCAGGACAAGTGGACCTGGACCTGCTGCGGTGCCAGCAGTTGAAGCTATACATCCTGAAAGCAGGTCGGGCGCTGTTCTCCCACCAGGATAAACTGCGGCAGATCCTGTCTCAGCCAGCTGTTCAGGAGACTGGAACTGTTCACACAGGTGTCTTTTTAAAAAGTTCTTAAATCTTTATAAGAAGGGCAGTAGAAAGTAGACAAAGGAAGTGAATAATCAGTTCATAAAAATGGACATAGGTGGCTTATAAATGTACAAAACAGACACGTGGCCTGCCCAGCAACCACCAACTGTGAATAAAATTGTCATCGTCATCTTATAAGACAAGACTGAGGGCATCTGGTGGGTGGGGAGGGAAAAAGGTATTTTCATGCCTTCCCATTTAAAGTTTGCTGCATGGGTCAGCAAGATTGGTGGCACACAGGTATGTGTTAGAAATGCAGACTCCCAGGCCGCACCCCAGACCAAAGAAATAGAGCCTGTATTGTAACAAGATGAACCTAAGCTGGTTCTTCAAATGCGCGTAAAGCCGCACTCCATGAACACGCTGCTGCTGGGAATTTCAGTTGGTGTAGCCATCTAATGGGCGTCTGAGGAAATGAGTTGGACTTTGAAATGCATAGATGTATGTATGTATTTATATACTTTGGCCCAGCAAGTCATTCTGTGGGACTTTATCACACGAAAAGGCATGTAAAGATAATGTATTCACCACCTGGGCACAGTGGCTCATGCCTGTAATCCCAGCACTTTGGGAGGCCGAGGCGGGCGGATCACGAGGTCAGGAGATAGAGACCATCCTGGCTAACACGGTGAAACCCCATCTCTGCTAAAAATACAAAACATTAGCTGGGCAAGGTGGCAGACGCCTGCAGTTCTAGCTACTTGGGAGGGTGAGGCAGGAGAATGGCATGAATCTGTGAGGCGGAGCTTGCAGTGAGCCGAGATGGCGCCACTGCACTCCAGCCTGGGCAACAGAGCAAGACTCTGTCTCAAAAAAAAAAAAAAAAAAAAATTGGCGGGGCATAGTGGTGGCTGCATGTAATGCCAGCTACTTGGGAGGCTGAGGCAGGAGAATCACTTGAACCGGGGGGTGCGGAGGTTGCCGTGTGTGCGGATTGCAGGGTGCAGATTGTGCCACTGCACTCCAGCCTGGGTGACAGAGTGAGACTTCGTCTCAAAAAAAATAATAAATAAAAATAATGTATTCAACAGTGTCGTTATGGCCTCCTTTTTGGTATTGTTTTTGTATTGAAAAACTGTAGACACCAAAATACCCATTCTTATGTTGTGTATCCGTACAGTGTGATATCATGGTGCCATTCAAAATGATGGTACATGTATAGTCTTCCCTCAATATCCATGGGGATGAGTTCCAAGACCCCCAGTTATACCAGAATTCACTAATGCTTAAGGCCCTTCTATAAAATGGTGTAGTATTTGCATATAACCTATGCACATCCTCCGAAATACTTTAAAAATATAAATGATATATAGGCTGGGTGCGGTGGCTCACGCCTGTAATCCCAGCACTTTGGGAGGCTGAGGTGGGCAGATCACGAGGTCAGGAGATTGAGACCATCCTGGCTAACACAGTGAAACTCCATCTCTACTAAAAATACAAAAAATTAGCTGGGCGTGGTGACGGGTGCCAGTAGTCCCAGCTACTTGGGAGGCTGAGGCAGGAGAATGGCATGAACCCAGGAGGCGGAGCTTGCAGTGAGCCGAGATCGTGCCACTGCACTCCAGCCTGGGTGACAGAGCGAGACTCTGTCTCAAAAAAATAAATAAATAAATAAAAATAAAATAAAATAAATGATATGTAAATAGTTGTTATTGCTATTCTTTTTAAAATTATATTTTAAAAAATTGTTTTATTCTGAATATTTTTGATGTGTGGTTTGTTGAATCTTTGGATGCAGAACCCATGGATACGGAGGGCTAGCTGTATATGTTTATTGCTGTGGAAACATGAAAACAATAAGTGAACAGAAAAGCACACTGCTATGTATATCCGTTTATAGATATGCCATAGTTATCTGTTTAGCAAAACAGTGACCCAGTAATCTTTGGTGGAATTTTGGCTGTCTTTATTTTCTTTATATTTCTCTATATTTAGTTTTCTAGAATGAGCTTGTGTTACTTTTAATAGAAAAAAACATTTTTTGATCTCCAACTATTGAAAGACATTATGCTAAGTCTTTTGCGGAGAAGTCCTTTTCTATGATCATTGCTCTCTAGGGTTTGGATGAGGAGAGGAAGTGAATGCAGATGGCTCTCTTTGTTCTCTGGGGCCAGGGGGCGGTGAGGCATGTGAGTGGTTCCACAGGCGTCTGGAGCCAGTGGCAGCTGAGCACTGGACGGGCAGCCTTTGAAGGCTGTGGCAGACAGATGCCAGCAGACAAGCACTCTGCTGGTGGTGGAGGCAGGAGGAGAGGAGTGAACGTGGTGAGTCTTTGGAAGCACGTTGAGCAGCTCTCCTCTTCTTGGAGCTCAGGGTTTTTCGATGAGTGGTGGGGCTGAAGCTAGATGGGCAGCTGACATCCTGTTACAGAGTACCTGGGAGACCAGGGTGAAACTTGAGGCCCACTTGGAAAGCTGTGGTAGGGGCCACATGGTAAGCATTGACCTTCGGGTGATACACCTGCTAGGAAGGTATAGGAGTATCTGAAACAGGAGATGACAGAGATGGAGAATTGCTCCTGCGTCAGGTGATGAGGGGGAAGGCATGAAAAGGGAAAGAAGGTTCTGGTGGAAGGAAGGTGCCATCCACTGTGATGGTGTAGTCTTGTAGATGATAACTTTATGGGGAACCAGCAAAAAGTGGAAGGTGACTGCTGTTTCAAGCTTGAGTTGAGGGAGGAATATTGAGTAGTGTGTTTGAAACAAATAAGTCCAGTAGAATGTGGAGTGTGTGCGTTTGCTTCTTAAGAGGAGAGGATGCTATGAAATTAATTTTAAACCTGCTGAGGATGAAAGAAATCAATTGAAAGTATAGAATCAATTAATAGTAGAGGTCGTAGGGAACATGAAGATTTCCCAGTTGTAGAGATTGGGAGATTGGAGCCTGGGAATTGGATTGGCTGTTCTGTTCTGCACTCAGCCCGATGAGCAATTACAGCAGACCTGAATCAGGATGATCAAGTCTGTGCTTTGGGCCGAGCAGGGACTCCGAACAGAGCTAGATTGACAAAACTGCCGTGCACCTGTTTTTGTAAATTTTTATGGGAACACAGGCACACCACTTGTTTACACATCGTCTCTGGATGCTTTTGCTCTGCAATGGCAGAGCTGAGTAGTTGGGACAGAGACTGTACAGCCCATCAGCCTAAACTATTTACTCTCTGGCCCTTTAAGAGAAAGATTTCCAGCTCCTGGTCTAGTTAGTTGAAATTGTCACTGAAGAAAACCAGCACATGCAAATGCTGTGAGTACCTGGATGAGTACCTAGATGTGTGAAGTGGGCTTGAGCGCAGTGGATCTCCCTGGGGCTGTGTCAAACAGAGTCCTAAAGGCTGCACCTAAAGCTACTCATAACAGACAAAAAGCCATCACCCTGAGCACATGACACATTTGGAATTGGGGTCACTTAATGATCTCAACAAGGCTTAGCTGGAAAAGCTACAGCTAGAAATATGCACGTGGGATGTGTCTGTGTCAGGGGTTACTGAAGCCGTGAGTGAACATGAAAGAGAGTGTGTAGGTCAGGCATGGTGGCTTACGCCTGTAATCCCAACACTTTGGGATGCCGAGGCGGGTGGATCAGGAGTTGGAGACCAGCCTGGCCAACATGGTGAAATCTAATCAACAGCCTGGCCCCATCTATACTAAAAATACAAAAATTAGCTAGGCGTGGTAGCATGTGCCTGTAGTCCCAGCTACAGGGAAGGCTGATGCAGGAGAATCACTTGAGCCAGGAGGCAGAGGTTGCAGTTTGCCAAGATTGTGCCACTGCACTCCAGCCTGGGCAACAGAGTGAGACTCCATCTCAAGAAAAAGAGAAAGAATCAGACCAAGTGCAGAAATCTGGGAAGGAGCATTTGCTGGCTCTAAGAGACAGATGCACTAATGAAGGACAGAGACCAAAAGCAGGCAGTGAAAGTGGTTTAGAGTCTAGTTCCTTTTTTTTTTTTTTTTTGAGATGGAGTCTCGCTCTGTTGCCAGGCTGGAGTGCAGTGGCGTGATCTTGGCTCACTGCAACCTCCAACTCCCTGGTTCAAGCAATTCTCCTGCCTTAGCCTTGCGAGTAGCTGGGATTACAGGCACGCACCACCATGCCCAGCTAATTTTTTTTTTTTTTTTTTTTTTTGAGACCGAGTCTTGGTCTGTCGCCCAGGCTGGAGTGCAGTGGCGTGATCTCGGCTCACTGCAAGCTACGCCTCCCAGGTTCATGCCATTCTTCTGTGTCAGCCTCCCAAGTAGCTGGGACTACAGGTGCCCACCACCATGCCCGGCTAATTTTTTTGTGTTTTTAATAAAGATGAGGTTTCACTGTGTTAGCCAGGATGGTCTCGATCTCCTGACCTCGTGATCCACCCGCCTTGGCCTCCCAAAGTGCAGGGATTACACGCGTGAGCCACCGCACCCAACCTAGAGTCTAGTTTTTGTTCGATGTCTGAACCTTGAAGATTTTGGTTTTCTATCACATAATGAGGCAGAAGTCATACCTGATTTAACATGCTTAATGCATTTTCTTTAATAGTAAAGTGGTGTTCACAGTTGAAAATAGAATCTTACACATATTTTGTTTTTAAATTCAGATGATGGAGCAGTGGTATCACCTGACCTTGGGGACATGTCTCCTGAAGGGCCGCAGCCCCCCATGATCCTCTTGCAGCAGCTGCTGGCCTCGGCCACCCAGCCGTCTCCTGTGAAGGCCATATTTGATAAACAGGAACTTGAGGTACAGCCATGCAGCCTTGACAGTTTTTAATCCACAGCACTAAATTGTGAACACTTTTTTTCTAGATGTATATTTTCTTAAGGATCTATTCTGAATGTTAAATGATAGTACGCAAATAATTCTAATGATTCATTGGGGTTTAACCATGTTTGTGCATAGTCTGCAGAACATTATAATACTAAAGACTGAGAGGGTTGAAGTTTAACCTTATTTTGGGTTTGTGTAAATTGTGAAAAAATATTAACTAGATGCAGCATGGGTTAAACGCTCACATCTTCATGAAGGGATCTTTTTCCAGGAAGTAGAATTATTCAAAGAGGCTCGTCAGGACTCTGGCAGCCGTTTGTCTGTTTCATTCACTCAGGAGCCTCTTGGGGGTGCTCTGGTGCCGCCAGCCTCTCCGCTCTCTCCATGCTGTGGAGCAGGTGAGGGCAGCAGCGAGGCACAGGGTCAGGGCTACGGGACGTTCGCATAGAGGAGGCGACGTGATTGAGTGTAAGAGGGATGGGAGCTTTCATGGCTGGCAACATAGAGGATTAGAGATGTTCATTCCAAAATCTTTCTTGCTGTGTAATACATTAAAAATCTGGACAAAATATCAGAGACAAAAATAAAACTATCAGTACTCAGTTTGGCAATCAGAAATTACTCTAACAGAAACCCTCAGATAGCAGGGCCCTTCTTGGGAGCAAGGGTCCAGATGAGGCAGCCACTGCCTTGGACAGGTGGGAGGCCTCCCCCAGTCCTAGAACGAGCTGGAAAGATGGTGGGGGTGCAAAGGGAGAAAGCAAGAAACGGGTGTGGGCAGGAAGGGAGGAGGTTGGCCGTGAGCTCTTCTGAACTCCAGCTTCTTCTCAGGTCTGGGAACCTCTGAGGTGAAGGTTCATTTTAAAGGGCCTGGTTGTGTTTCCAGTCTCCCTGGCAGAGATCAAAAGACGCTGAGCAACTTGAGAGCACGTGGGGCGGTGCACGTGCTCCCTGCAGTCATGCTGGGAGATGCCGAGTGTGAACACCTAGAAGGCCGTGTAGAGTTGTTCTTCAGGAACTGAGAAGGACTGTTGTACAAAAAAAGACCTTCCGCTGTTTTGTCTCCATGGATTCCGATGGAGAGTCGTTGTTCTCATCTCTTCTTTTGTATGAAATGTCTGTTTTCTCTGGTTGCTTTTCGTATTTTGTGTTATCTTTGGTTTTCTGCAGTTTCCCTAAGCTGGGCTCATGTATGCAATGGTGGCCCACCCCGCCCACCCCACCATCCTCCTTGAAATTTATTTAAGCTGCTTGCATCTTTGGCTTGATTTTTGTTCCCCTACCAAATTTGGAAACTTTTGACTGCTGTTTTTTTCCCCGTCTTGCTCTTTTTGTTCTTTTCTGGAAATACTATTATACATCTGTTACACGGTTAGTGAGTTTCCTTTTATGACTTTAATAGAAAGTCTTTCTTCTCCTTGTTAGTAGCTTGGTTAGTTTGTCTTGATCTGTTTGAAAGGTCAAGATGCTTTGCTTTGTTGGGCCTGATCTGTTGTTATATCCATCCAAGACATACTTTATTTTATATTTCTCACATCTCTTATTTCCATTTGGCTCTCATTTAATAGTTTTATATCTCTTCTGACAGTTCCTTTCTTCATCCTTTAAGTCTATCTTTATTTTATTTTATTTTTTTTTTTGATGGAGTCTTGCTCTGTCACCAGGCTGGAGTGCAGTGGTGTGATCTCAGCTCACTGCAACCTCTGACTCCTGGGTTCAGGTGATTCTCCTGCCTCAGCCTCCCGAGTAGCTAGGACTACAGGTGCCTGCCACCATGCCTGGCTAATTTTTGTATATTTAGTAGAGATGGGGTTTTACCATGTTGGCCAGGCTGGTCTCGAACTCCTGACCTCATGATCTGCCCGCCTCAGCCTCCCAAAGTGCTGGGATTACAGGTGTGAGCCACCGTGCCTGGCCAAATCTATCTTTTGCTGTACATTTTAAAACATATTTCTGATAGTTATGTTGAATTTCTTGTTTTCTAATTCTAACATCTGCCCACCTGTTGGTCTGCTGCTCTTTGCAGTTTTTTTCCCTTGATTATAGTCAGTTATTGGTTGTTGTCCTTCACATATGAGAATTTTTATTTCATTCTGGATTCTTTGGACGTTACATTGTATTGGCTCTGGGTTCTGCCTCCTGTCTATATACTGTCTGACACTGTCTATATACTGTATTCCCCTTGCCCCTGTGGTTTTCCACGTATGAATTGAGTTTACATTGCTTGGACTATAATTGCTCATCCCTACCACAGTTACTTTATTAGTTTAGCTATACTATTGGGAAGATGATTTTTCATCATGGTTATACAAATTTGTTTATAAGCCTATTTAACTCAAATTTAAATTATGCTGCTGTGGGTAAAAATAGTAACAAGTACTTTTTCATGGATTTCTTCAGAGACTAACTAAAATGATCAATCAGCGTGTCCAAGAAAATATGAGAAAATTTATCTTTCAGAAATGTTTTGTATGAAATTCTCAAATGCTTCAAAGGCTTACAACTTTACATGAAATGATTAAAGACAGATTTAAAAACAAGAACAAAATCCACAATTATTATCCACATTACTTTTGAGTACTGTTAATACAGCCATTACAGAGACCTCCAGATAGAAGGAATGATAGTATCTAAATAATAGAAATAGGATGATTAAGTTGCATTTATTTAAAAACAAGTCTTTTTGGTTGGAAATAGGATGTATAAAAAAGCTCAATACCAAAATTTAGATGAGATGTACATTTATTGGAGAGAATAAAATTGTTGAGATAGTTTTTAACAACAACAAAAAACCCGGAAAGCATACAAAACAAACAAATAAAAACCTGAATTAGAGCTTTGGACTTCCTCAAATCACATTATTTGTAGTGGATTGGTTGACTCCATTTTAAGATAGAGGAGACGAACAAGATGGCCGACTAGACACAGCCAGGAAGTGCCACTCCTCTCAAGAGAGGCCAAATTATTAGGTAAACCACCATAATTTGAACAGGTATTCAAGGAGAAAATGCTGAAAGTGGATGGAGAGGCAAGGTCGAAGCCAAGACTGAAGAGGCAGGAAGCTGGAAACCCTGAGTTAGCTACCCAAATGCCAGGGCTAATTCCTGGCCCCAAACAATTCCAGTAAAGGACTGAATGAAGGAACTGAGGGATGGTTCACTCTTGCCATGAGCATTTGATTTTCTAGCTACAAGGGACCTTACGCGACCATGGATGTGTGAGCTGGCAGGGGGATCTCCCTAGGGAGCAGGCAGAGACAGACTTTGGACAGCACAGAGCCCAGGAGCTTTTGTGTGCTGGACTGCTGCAGGCAAGAGCAGCCATAGATGCCCATTCCCCAGGGATTTCCATTCTCCTCTGGGAGGCATGGACCCCTACTGACCTCCAAGCCAGGAGAGAGTTGGGCCAGCTTTCCTGCACGACTGGGGTGCATCTACTCTGCAAGCCCTTCTGCCTACCAGCCCTTCCCAGGGTCCATGCCTAGCTGCCCTGTAGGAGCAGGTGCATAGTGCAGCCCTGGAAGGTCAGCCTGAGTGTGTAGTTGCACCCACATATTTTCTTCATGACCCTGGAGCACACTGTATCCCCCAGTGCAGCAAGAACCCAAACCCAAGCCATGGGATATCCCAGTGTCCCCAGGGCTGTAGTGTGCAGCTTGGGAGTATGGAACCAAGATTTGTGGCTGGCACTCAAACAGAGAAAGAGGCCCCAATCTCAGAGCCGTGAGAGGGGTGAGATGCACGGATTCCTGAGCTGGGGTAAGAGTGGAACATGCCTCCCTTCTCAGGTCCAGTCCAAAAAGCATGTGGCATATCTCCCTGCCACAGCTTCTGCCCAAGAAGACCATGTGGCTCAGAAAAACTAACAAAAGAAATGTGGGCACAGCACCAGCTATCAGAGGGAGCTCTCTCAAGTTTTACAAGCAGATCTGTTGAGGGAACCGTATCACTCCATATCACTGCAGAGCATATCTGTGAACTCAAGAAGTACAAAAAAGCCCTGTGACCAGGTATTAACCTAGCTACCAGTCATTACTGTTAAACCTCATTCACTGGATTGCCACCCAAACTACAACACCTAAATTTTATTCTGCTAATATATACAGCTGTGAAACCAAGTCAAAAATTTACCCACACATAAAGATTCTGTAAGAGCCCTGGGCCTCTAAAAGCATTCAGAAATTAAGCCAACTGACTATTCTCAACTTACACCACAGTTAAAGAAATGCCAACCCTCCCAGATGAGAAAGAATTAGCACAAGAACTCTGGCAATCCAAAAAGTCAGAGTGTACCCTCACTTCCAAATGATCCACTAGCTCCCCAGCAATGGTTTCTAACCAGTCTGAAATGACTGACATAACAGACACAGAATGCAGAATCTGTGGCCAGGAAACCCATTGAGATTCAGGAGAAAGTGAAATTCAGTGCAAGGAATTCAAATAATTTAGTAAAGCAATCCAAGAGCTGAATGATAAAATAGCCATTTTCAGAAATAACCAAACTTAAATTCTAGAGCTGAAAAACTCATTATCAGAATTTTATCAAATAATCAGTAGTATTAGCAGCAGAATAGACCAAGCTGAGGAAATAATCTCAAAACTTGAAGACTTGTTCTTTAAGTCAACTCAGACAAAAATAAGGAAAAAAATGGGAAAAAAAAGTGAAACCTCCAAGAATATGGGATTTTGTAAAGCGAAAAAATCTATGACTCATTGTCATTCCTGAGAGAGGAGAGAGAATACGCAACTTGGAAAATATATTTGAAGATACACTTCATGAAAATTCCTCTTATCTCTTTAGGGAGATTTACATACAAATCCAAGAAACACGCAGAACCCCAGATAGATATGACATGAAATGACTACCTCCAAGGCACATAGTACAATATTCATCAAGGTCAACACTAAAGAAAAAAGTCTTAAAGGCAGGGTAAAGTCACATACAAGGAACTTCATCAGGCTAGCAGCAGACCTCTCAGCAGGTATCTTACAAGTCAGAAGAGATTGGTAGCTTATTTTCAGCATCCTTAAAGAAAATAAATTTTAACCAATAATTTCATATCCCACCAAACTAAGCTTAAAAGTGAAGTGAAGCAAATGCTAAGGGAATATGTTTCAACTAGACTAGCCATACAAGAGGTCCTTAAGGGAGTGCTAAACATGGAAAAGAAAGAATGACAGTCATACCACAAAAGCTCATTTAACCACATAGCACACAGGCGCCATAAAGCAACCACATAATCAAGTCTACATAACAATCAGCTAGCAACATGATGACAGAATTAAAATCACAGATACCAATACTAACCTTGAATGTAAATGGGCTAAATGCTCCACTTAAGAGACACAGAGTGGCAGGCTGGATAAATGACCCAACCATCTGTTATCTTCAAGAGACCTATTTCACATTAAGAACAACCACAGGCTCACAGCAAAAGAATGGAGAAAGAGCTACCATGTGAACAGAAAGCAAAAAAGAGCAGAAGTTGCTATTCTTATATAAAATAGACTTTAAACCAATAAAAATTAAGAACAATGAAGGGCATTACATAATGATAAAGGGTACAATCAAACAAGAAACCTTAACTGTACTAAATATATATACACTCAATATTGGAGCACCCAGATTCATAAAACAAGTTCTTCATTGCCCATGAAAACACTTAGACAACCAAACAATAACAGCAGGAGACTTCACCACCCCACTGACAGCACTAAACAGATCATTAAGGAAGAAAACTAACAAACTCTGGACATAAACTCAACACTTTAACAATTGGACCTAATAGACATCTACAAAATACCCCAGGTAATATCCACAGAATATATATTCTTCCCAGCTGCACATGGAACATATTCTAAGATCAACCACGTGCTTAATCATAAAGCAAGTCTCAATAAATTCAAAAAATTGAAATTATACCAAGCAAACTCTTGGACCACAGTGAAATAAAAATAGAAATCAAAATCAAGAAGACCTCTCAAAACTACACAAATATAGGGAAATTAAACAACTTACTCCTGAATAACTCTTAGGTGAACATCAAAATAAAGGTAGATTTAAGAAAAATTCTTTGAAATATTGAAAACAGGAATATGACTTACCAAAATCTTTGAGATGCAGCCAAAGCAGTGTTAAGAGGAAAGTTTATTTCCCTAAATACAGTAATCGAGAAGTTAGAAAGATCTCAATTTAGCAATCTAACTTTGCACCTAAAGGAACTAGAAAAGAAAAAGCTAGCAGAAGAAAAAAATAACTAAAATTAGAGAACTTACTGAAATTGAGATAGAAAAATCCGTAGAAAAAATAATAAAAAAGCAAGAGTTTGTTCTTTGAAAAGATGAATAGACTGCTATTTAACGGCTAGATTTACAATGAAAAAAAGAGAAGATAAGTATAGTCAGAAATAACAAAGATAATATAACTGATCCCACAGAATTACAAAAGTTTCCCATAGAATACCATGAACAACTCTATGCATACAAATTAGAAAATCTGTAGATGAAATTGATAAATTCTTAGAAACACACAGTCTCTAATTGAATCAGGAAAAGATTGAAGCATTGAATAGTGAAATATCTCACTCTGAAATTGAATCATATGTAATAAAAAAAAACTACCACCAACCAAAAAAGTCCTAGACCAGATGGATTCACAGTCAAATTCTACCAGATATACAAAGAAAAACTGGTACCAATTCTACTGAAGCTATTACAAAAAAAGGAGGGAATCCTTTCAAACTCAATCTCTGGCAGAAACACAATGAAGAAAGAAAACTTGAGGCCAATGTCCATGATGAACACAGACAAAAAATTCTCAACAAAATATTGATAAACTGAATCCAGCAGCATATAAAACAGTTAATTCACCACGATAAAGTAGGCTTTATTCCTGGGATGCAAGGTTGGATCAACATATGCAAATCAATAAATATGATTCGCCACATAAGCAGATTTAAACACAAAAACTATCTGATCATCTCAAAAAATGCAGAAAAACTTCAATAAAATTCAACATCACTTCATGATAAAAACCCTCAACAAACTAGACATCAAAATAATATGACTCAAAATAATAAGAGTCGTCTATAGCAAACCCAGAGCCAACATTATACTGAATGGGCAAAAGCTGGAAACATTCCCCTGGAGAACTGAAAAAAAGGCAAGCACTCTGACCATTTCATATTCAACGTAGTAGTGGAAGTCAGAGCCAGAGCAATCAAGCAGGAGAAAGGCTACTGGAACTAATAAATGATTTTAGCAAAGTTCCATGATACAAAATCAATGTAGAAAACATCAGTACCATTTATATGTGCCAATAACATCCAGGCTGAGAGTCATATTAAGAACACAATCACATTTACAATAACCACAAAGAAAATGAAACAGCTGAGAGTACAGGTAACCAAGAAGGTGAAAAATCTCTACAAGGAGAACTAGAAAACAATGCTGAAAGAAATCAGGTGACATAAATAAGTGGGAAAACATTCCATACTCATGGGATGTTTTAATGTTTCATAGAAATGAAAAATCAATATCACTGAAATGGCCATACTGCCCAAAGCAATTTACAGATGCAATGCTATTCCTATCAACCTATCATAGAATTAGAAAAACTATTCTAAAATTTATGTGGAACCAAAAAAGAGCCCAAATAGCCAATGCAAACCTAAGCAAAAAGAACAAAGCTGGAGGCCTTACACTATCAACTTCAAACAATAAGGCTACAGTGAAAAAACAGCATAGTGCTGATACAAAAACAGACACATAGACTAATGGAACAGAATAGAAAGCTAAAATATAAAGCTGCTCACTTACAACCATCTGATTTTCGACAAGGTCAATGAAAACAAGCAATAGGGAAAGGATTTGCCATTTGATAAATGTTTCAGGTTAACTGGCTTGCCATAAGCAGAAAAATGAAACCAAATTCTTATCTTTCACTAATACAAATATTTACTCAAGATGGATTAAATATTTAAATGTAAGATCTCAAACTATAAAAGCACTAGAGTAAAACCTAGGAAATACTCATGTCAACACTGGCCTTGGCAAATAATTTTTGGCTAAGTCCCCAAGCAATTGCAACAAAAACAAAAATTGACAAGTGATACCTAATTAAACTAAACAGCTTCTGCACAGCAACAGAATAAGCAGACAACCTATGGAATGGGAGAAAATATTCATTAACTATGTATCTGTATTAGTCTGTTTTTACACTGCTTATAAAGCATTACTTGAGACTGAGTAATTTATTTAAAAAAAAAAAAAGATGAGGTTTAATTGACTCCCAGTTCCCCATGGCTGGATAGGACTCAGGAAACTTACAGTTATGGCAAAAGGTCAAGGGGAAGAAGGCACTTCTTACCTGGTGGTAGGAGACAGAGAGCAAGAAAACAAGGAAGTGCCACACTTTAAAACCATCAGCTGTTGTGAGAATTCACCCACTGTCATGAGAACATCATGGGGGAAACTGCCCCCATAATCCAATCACCTTCCACCAGGTCCCTCCTGGGACATGTGGGGATTACATTTTGAGATGAGATTTGCGAGTGTCACAGAGCAAAACCATATCAGCATCCAACAAAGGTCTAATATTCATAATCTACTTAAATCAACAGATTAAAAGCAAATAACTCCATTAAAAAATGGACAAAGGACATGGACAGGCACTCCTCAATAGAAGACATATAAATGGTCAACAAGCATGAAAAAAACGCTCATCATCGCTAATCATCAGAGAAATGCAAATCAAAACCACAATGAGGTACCATCTTACACCAGTCAGAATGACTATTATTAAAGAGTCAAAAAACAACAGATGGTAAAGGGAATCCTCATTTGTAGTTTGTAGGAATGTAAATTAGTTCAGCCACTGTAAAAGGCAGTCTGGAGATTTCTCAAAGAACTTAAAACAAGGCTACCATTGAACCCAGTCATCCTATTTCTTGGTATGTACTCAAAGGAACATAGATCATTCTACCAAAAGACACATGCATATAGATGTGCATCACAGCTCTATTCACAATAGCAAAGACATGGATTAACCTAGGTGCCCATCAACAATGAATTGCATAAAGAAAATGTGATACATATACATCATGGAATACCATGCAGCATAAAGTATAATGAAATCATGTCCCATGCAGCAACATAGATGGACCTGGAGGCCATAGTCCTAAGCAAATTAATACAGGAACAAAAAGCAAAACTCCACATATTCCCATGTATATGTTGGAGCTAAACATTAAGCACACATGAAAATTAACATGGGAACAATAGATACTGCACACAACTAGACAGAAAAGGGAGGAAAGTGGCACAGGTTAAAAAACTACCTACTGAGTACTATGCTCACTACTTGGGACCAATATACCCATGTAACAATCCTACACATGTGTCTCCTGTATCTAAAATAAAAGAGTAATTTAAAAAAATAGGCAAATGACTGAAGGAAGTGAGAAGACATATTCTGAAATCCTGAGAGTGAAAGTTGGGGAAAGGGGTGGAGAGAGAAGCGTGATTGATGGTGGTGATGAGGAGAGGATGATAATCAATAGGTTAATGAAGAGCACACATTCTAAAGGAAATCACTCAAGAAACGAAGGAAGATTTCATACAAATACTCCCTTATGATTGAAAACGAATGATATTATTACAACAATTTAAGTTGGAAAAAAAGACATAGGGTTTAAAAAGCCATGCAATTTGAAAAAATAAAAAGTAAATTTGAGAAGCTTACAACAAAAGTAAAATATTATAACCATTACGGAAATTAAAGTCACATGAGTAGGCTGCCTCAGAGCATATAGTACATTCCATTGGAAAGATGGTCCTGCCATAACATATAGCATCAAGTTAAAGCAGGAGAATAAAATTATATGATCAAGTGTGGTAGTAGTTTTCCATTGCTACATAACCCATCACCACATACGTAGTTGCTTAAAACAAGACAACACAAAACAACACGGAAATTACTATTTCTGTGGGTCCAGAGCCCAGCCCTGAGTTATGTAGGTCTTCTGCTAAGGAGCCCATCATTCTGCCATTAAGGCACTGGCTTCCTGTAGTTCTCATCCAGTTGCTGGCAAAGTTCAGTTCATTACAGGTGTAAGACTGAGGTCTCTGTGTTGTTGCAGGCTGTTGGCCACGCCCTGTGACAACATGGCTGCTTACTCAAAACCAGCAGAAGCATCTCTCTCCAGTGGGCTAGGAAGAAGTCTTATGTAGCTTTATATACTCATGAGAGTAACTATCCCTCATAGTCACAGGTCTGCTCATCCTTGATGTTGGAATTACATGGGACATACACACCAGGGGGTGAAACTCTTAGAGGTCATCTTAGAATTCTGCATACACAAATTACAAAATGGAGAGAAATGACAAGAAAAGCAATATGTACTATAAATTTGATGTTTCCGAAGAAAAGAGCAAAACAAATAAAATATGAATTTTTGACTTTATGATGATAGAGAACTTTTGACTTCTTTCTCCTTCAAAAAACACACAGAACAAGAAGGAGACACAGTAAAGAATTAGCTGAAGTCTCATTCTCTAACTTGTGAGTGAAAAAGCCTCAAACAATTGCAGAAACTAGTAAGAAACAAGCAATTCAACTTTGCAGAACAAATGAATTTAGGAATGAGCACTAGTACTACTGTAGTTGGTGGTGGCTGGTGTGAAAGTTCACAGAAGAAACAAAGAGCTTCCATTTCCCAATTACATCCCACGGAGTCCAGTACCTGTTCTTTCTAGAATGAGGCATAAGGCTAGATATTTATTCTCTGGAGAAATATGTCAAGAGAAGGGCCAGGTGTAGGGACACAATTCACAAAACAAGAGAATAAGGTCTACCAAACAGAAGGGTAAAATCTCACTGTACTTACATTAATTGTAAATCACTCTCATAACTTCTTCTGTTCAGATCCATACACTGGTAGTAATAAGTATAGAGAAATTCACAAGCAGACATGTAACATCACCCAAATACCATCTCCAATAAGTTTTACAGTTCCTCTATCTTAAAAATGAATAGACAACCGAGATTTGACAGTAACCTCAAACATGAAAGGCAGGGATCAAGGTAAAAATAATAATAATAATAATTACAAGTAAATCTATAATAAAAGATACAATACAGGCCTGGGAAAAAACTTTTAAAAATGATATGCAGTTATGTTCAGAGAGAGAAAATCTATAACACCTATACATCTCAAAGGTAGAGGAAGCTGTAACAAGTAAAAAAATTCAAAAAATAAAATACATAAAAGCTTTTGAAAATTAAGAAATACAATTGCTAAAGGAAAACAAATCAGTAAGAAGAATTGAAGTCCAGTATATTTTTGGAATAAATAGCCAAAACTGATCAAAATGGAGGCCTCTAGGGTGGAAGACTTTCCACAGAAATGCTCCATGCTGGATGGAAGGCAGTGAGGCAGTGACGGCTAAATTCTGACAGAAAGGAATGTGACCCTAGAATTCTGAAGCCAGTCATGTGTTCTTGCAAGTGTAATGGAAGAAAACACCGAGGAGCTTTACTTCTCACTCTTGACTTGAAAACACGTCAAGCCAGACAGAAATTAAAATAACAGACTCAAGAATGTGAAGATTCAGTGAAATGAATGATGCTGAAAATTACCCTCTATTTAAATATTGAAATTAAATTAGAATGAAACAAAATCTTTGTCAATCATGGTTAAAGGAGAATAACTGTTTAAAGCATTGGCAATGTAAACTTAACAATATAACAAAATAAATCGATCCATATGGAGAATAGAGGTACAAATATTATATCCTCTTCTATTAAATATGAATATGAAGTCACTATTTCAAGTTGAATTGTAGAAAAAATGACACAATACTCTTATTTTTATCTTCTGTTTTTGTTGCTTTTGCTGTTTTTAATTTAGAACTACATTTTAGAATTAAATTTTTTTGTGCCAGAATAATTTTTGCTATAATTTTACTTCTGCTTTATTATATTCATTAAATTAAATATTATAAAAGTAAAAATAACGTAGTGTGGTACAGAATCTCATTTGTGGGATTGTATGAATTGATCTATTACTCTGTTTATTTACATGTCTATTCATATGTCTGTCTCCACAGAGAAATATGAAGAATGCTGTTCACTAAATAATAACAATGTGTGTATTTTGGTTTCATTTCTGAGTAGCAGGATTTTGGTAATTGTTTAGTGGCCTTTTATTACTCTTCTATAGAAAGCTTGCCCTAATGTTGTAACAACAACACGTGACGGGTTTTTTTTTTGTTTTGTTTTTTGAGGCAAGTCTTGCTCTTGTCCCCCAGGCTGGAGTGCGATGGTGCTATCTTGGCTCACTGCACCCTGCGCCTCCCAGGTTCAAGCGATTTTCCTGCCTCAGCCTGGGATTACAGGCACGTGCCACCATGCCCAGCTAATTTTTGTATTTTTAGTGGAGATGGGGTTTCTCCATGTTGGCCAGGCTGGTCACGAACTCCTGACCTCAGGTGATCCTCCCACCTCAGCCTCCCAAAGTGCCGGGATTACAGGCATGAACCACCATGCCAGGCCAAACATGAAATTTTTACTTTTATTTTTGAAAAAGACATGTTGATTGAACTCCTTTACAATCAGTCTTAGCAATTGCAAGAGCTAGCTGATTCAAGAGTAATGAAACAATCAGATTATTTAAATGGGGTGGAAGCATGATGCCCTGGAATATGAGCATTTGCTAATCCTGCCACACTAGTGTTTATCCCAGGTAATCTCTAGAAAGACATTTGTCTATCCTTATGCCCTAAAAATGTTATGAATAGAGAACACATAAAAACTTCGTAGATGTCAAATTTTTAGTGATAATACCATTTTTACAGCCTAACTCATTATGTGGTAGGTGTTCTGGCCCACTTAGGTAGCCTCTGCTTCTCTTTTCGACAGTAATAAACCTGAAGTTGGAAGAGTCTACAGCACTGCAGAGCTGAGTAGAGGAGACTAATTATTTTACCTCCTCTTGGGCCATATTGGACTCTTATCTAGGATTGTATGTATCAATAAGCTTTTCCACTTCTACCACTGTATTCTTTTCTTTAGATGACCTTCATCTTTGTTTTGGTATAAAGTCTCCTCATACTATGCAAGCAGCCACTTTCTGCTGAATGCTCCCCACTTACTCAGTCAACTGCCCCCCTCACTCCCAGTTTGTGTTAGATAGTGCCTTCTCTCATTACACCCTGTGTTTAAGTTGACTACTTCTTATATGAAAATATACATCAGCTGCCTTTTTCATGTCTTTCTGCTCAATTAGATTTTGAAATCCCAGAGAAAAATAAGTCATATTCTCAACTTTCGCCTGTGTTTATTGCCCTAGTCTATACATCTGACTGCTTCATTGTGTGCCCAACACACAATCCAAACTAACCTAATAATAGACGTGGAATTCTACTACACAACCAGTGAGTTTAATGAGCTGCAAATAAAAGGACCATGTTGCTTCTTCCCCCCATTAAATTTCATCCTTTATAGCTGTTTTGGCTATCACTGATTTTCATGTGTTCAAATTCAGATGTTTGCATAGTAAAATGAAAATGTTCCATAAAAGGATTACTTTATTCTTAATTGGTTGTTTCCATTTTAGTCAGAGATGAGTGAAGAGGCAATGCCCACTAAACTTTCTCTGCTACTGAAGAAGACAACTAGGCTGAGGTGGCAGGATTGTTGGGTCCAGAAGTTTGAGGCTGCAGTGAGCCAGATTACACCACTGCACTCCAGCCTAGGAGACAAAGCAAGACCTTGTCTCAAAAAAAAAAAAAAAAGTCTTTTTATATATCAACATGTATGTTAATTTTTGCAAAAGGTTTATTAAACCACATTATTCTTATTTTATGGATAAGAAAACTGATAGAGAGTTTAGATAACTTCTAAGTATCCTCCCATTCATAGATTGGGACGCTACTATCTGAATTTAGATCTTTTGATACAAAGTTTATTTCTTCAGTCATATTCTGGAATAGTTATTATATAAAAAGTAGACAAAATGGCAGATTTAACTTTCACCTTCAGTAATTTTTGAAAAGATTATGGAAGTGTGAGAGTAGTGGTTCTCCCAGCACGCAGCTGGAGATCTGAGAACAGGCAGACTGCCTCCTCAAGTGGGTCCCTGACCCCCGAGCAGCCTAACTGGGAGGCACCCCCCAGTAGGGGCAGACTGACACCTCACACGGCCAGGTACTCCTCTGAGACAAAACTTCTAGAGGAACGATCAGGCAGCAGCATTCGCGGTTCAAGTAAAACCGCTGTTCTGCAGCCACCACTGCTGATACCCAGGCAAACAGTGTCTGGAGTGGACCTCTAGCAAACTCCAACAGACCTGCAGCTGAGGGTCCTGTCTGTTAGAAGGAAAACTAACAAACAGAAAGGACATCCACACCAAAAACCCATCTGTACATCACCATCATCAAAGACCAAAAGTAGATAAAACCACAAAGATGGGGAAAAAACAGAGCAGAAAAACTGGAAACTCTAAAAAACAGAGCGCCTCTCCTCCTCCAAAGGAACGCAGTTCCTCACCAGCAGTGGAACAAAGCTGGATGGAGAATGACTTTGATGAGTTGAGAGAAGAAGGCTTCAGATGATCAAACTACTCCGAGCTACAGGAGGAAATTCAAGCCAAAGGCAAAGAAGTTAAAAACTTTGAAAAAGAATTAGATGAATGTATAACTAAAATAACCAATACGGAGAAGTGCTTAAAGGAGCTGATGGAGCTGAAAGCCAAGGCTCGAGAACTTCGTGAAGAATGCAGAAGCCTCAGGAGCCGACGCAATCAACTGGAAGAAAGGGTATCAGCAATGGAAGATGAAATGAATGAAATGAAGCGAGAAGGGAAGTTTAGAGAAAAAAGAATAAAAAGAAATGAGCAAAGCCTCCAAGAAATATGGGACTACGTGAAAAGACCAAATCTACGTCTGATTGGTGTACCTGAAAGTGATGGGGAGAATGGAACCAAGTTGGAAAACACTCTGCAGGATATTATCCAGGAGAACTTCCCCAATCTAGCAAGGCAGGCCAACATTCAGATTCAGGAAATACAGAGAATGCCACAAAGATACTCCTCGAGAAGAGCAACTCCAAGACACATAATTATCAGATTCACCAAAGTTGAAATGAAGAAAAAAATGTTAAGGGCAGCCAGAGAGAAAGGTTGGGTTACCCACAAAGTGAAGCCCATCAGACTAACAGCGGATCTCTAGGCAGAAACTCTACAAGCCAGAAGAGAGTGGGGGCCAATATTCAACATTCTTAAAGACAAGAATTTTCAACCCAGAATTTCATATCCAGCCAAACTAAGCTTCATAAGTGAAGGAGAAATAAAATCCTTTACAGACAAGCAAATGCTGAGAGATTTTGTCACTACCAGGCCTGCCCTAAAAGAGCTCTTGAAGGAAGCACTAAACGTGGAAAGGAAAAACTGGTACCAGCCACTGTAAAATCATGCCAAATTGTAAAGACCATCGAGGCTAGGAAGAAACTGCATCAACTAACGAGCAAAATAACCAGCTAACATCATAATGACATGATCAAATTCACACATAACAATATTAACTTTAAATGTAAATGGACTAAATGCTCCAATTAAAAGACACAGACTGGCAAATTGGATAAAGAGTCAAGACCCATCAGTGTGCTGTATTCAGGAAACCCATCTCACATGCAGAGACACACATAGGCTCAAAATAAAGGGATGCGGGAAGATCTACCAAGCAAATAGAAAACAAAAAAAGGCAGGAGTTGCAATCCTAGTCTCTGATAAAACAGACTTTAAACCAACAAAGATCAAAAGAGACAAAGAAGGCCATTACATAATGGTAAAGGGATCAATTCAAAAAGAAGAGCTAAGTATCCTAAATATGTATGCACCCAATACAGGAGCATCCAGATTCATAAAGCAAGTCCTGAGTGACCTACAAAGAGACTTAGACTCCCACACAATAATAATGGGAGACTTTAACACCCCACTGTCAACATTAGACAGATCAACGAGATAGAAAGTTAACAAGGATACCCAGGAACTGAACTCAGCTCTGCACCAAGTGGACCTAATAGACATCTACAGAACTCTCCACCCCAAATCAACAGAATATACATTTTTTTCAGCACCACACCACACCTATTCCAAGATTGACCACATAGTTGGAAGTAAAGCTCTCCTCAGCAAATGTAAAAGAACAGAAATTACAACAAACTGTCTCTCAGACCACAGTGCAATCAAACTAGAACTCAGGATTAAGAAACTCACTCAAAACCACTCAACTACATGGAAACAGAACAACCTGCTCCTGAACGACTACTGGGTACATAACGAAATGAAGGTGGAAATAAAGATGTTCTTTGAAACCAACGAGAACAAAGACACAACATACCAGAATCTCTGGGACACATTCAAAGCAGTGTGTAGAGGGAAATTTATAGCACTAAATGCTCACAAGAGAAAGCAGGAAATATCCAAAATTGACACCCTAACAGCACAATTAAAAGAACTAGAAAAGCAAGAGCAAACACATTTAAAACCTAGCAGAAGGCAAGAAATAACTAAAATCAGAGCAGAACTGAAGGAAATAGAGACACAAAAAACCCTTCCAAAAATTAATGAATCCAGGAGCTGGTTTTTTTTGAAAAGATCAACCAAATTGATAGACCGCTAGCAGGACTAATAAGAAGAATCAAATAGATGCAATAAAAAATGATAAAGGGGATATCACCACCGATCCCACAGAAATACAAACTACCATCGGAGAATACTACAAATACCTCTACGCAAATAAACTAGAAAATCTAGAAGAAATGGATAAATTCCTCGACACATACACCCTTCCAAGACTAAACCAGGAAGAAGTTGAATCTCTGAATAGACCAATAACAGGAGCTGAAATTGTGGCAATAATCAATAGCTTACCAACCAAAAAGAGTCCAGGACCAGATGGATTCACAGCCAAATTCTACCAGAGGTACAAGGAAGAACTGGTACTATTCCTTCTGAAACTATTCCAATCTATAGAAAAAGAGGGAATCCTCCCTAACTCATTTTATGAGGCCAGCATCATCCTGATACCAAAGCCGGGCAGAGACACAACCAAAAAAGAGAATTTTAGACCAATATCCTTGATGAACATCGATGCAACAATCCTCAATAAAATACTGGCAAACCGAATCCAGCAGCACATCAAAAAGCTTATCCACCATGATCAAGTGGGCTTCATCCCTGGGATGCAAGGCTGGTTCAACATACACAAATCAATAAATGTAATCCAGCATATAAACAGAACCAAAGACAAAAACCACATGATCATCTAAATAGATGCAGAAAAGGCCTTTGACAAAATTCAACAACCCTTCATGTTAAAAACTCTCAATAAATTAGGTATTGATGGGACGTATCTCAAAATAGTAAGAGCTATCTATGACAAACCCACAGCCAATATCATACTGAATGGGCAAAAACTGGAAGCATTCCCTGTGAAAACTGGCACAAGACAGGGATGCCCTCTCTCACCACTCCTATTCAACATAGTGTTGGAAGTTCTGGCCAGGGCAATTAGGCAGGAGAAGGAAATAAATGGTATTCAACTAGGAAAAGAGGAAGTCAAATTTTCCCTGTTTGCAGATGACATGATTGTATATCTAGAAAACCCCATTGTCTCAGCCCAAAATCTCCTTAAGCTGATAAGCAACTTCAGCAAAGTCTCAGGATACAAAATCAATGTACAAAAATCACAAGCATTGTTATACACCAATAACAGAGAGCCAAATCAGGAGTGAACTCCCATTCACAATTGCTTCAAAGAGAATAAAATACTTAGGAATCCAACTTACAAAGGACATGAAGGACTTCTTCAAGGAGAACTACAAACCACTGCTCAATGAAATAAAAGAGGATACAAACAAATGGAAGAACATTCCATGCTCTTGGGTTGGAAGAATCAATATCATGAAAATGGCCATACTGCCCAAGGTAATTTATAGATTCAATGCCATCCCCATCAAGCTACCAATGACTTTCTTCACAGAATTGGAAAAAACGACTTTAAAGTTCATATGGAACCAAAAAAGAGCCTGCATCGCCAAGTCAATCTTAAGCCAAAAGAACAAATCTGGAGGCATCACGCTACCTGACTTCAAACTATACTACAACGCTACAGTAACCAAAACAGCATGGTACTGGTACCAAAACAGAGATATAGGTCAATGGAACAGAACAGAGCTCTCAGAAATAATGCCGCATATCTACAACTATCTGATCTTTGACAAACCTGACAAAAACAAGAAATGGGGAAACGATTCCCTATTTAATAAATGGCGCTGGGAAAACTGGCTAGCCATATGTAGAAAGCTGAAACTGGATCCCTTCCTTACACCTTATACAAAAATCAATTCAAGATGGATTAAAGATTTAAACGTTAGACCTAAAACCATAAAAACCCTAGAAGACAACGTAGGCATTACCATTCAGGACATAGGCATGGGCAAGGACTTCATGTCTAAAACACCAAAAGCAGTGGCAACAAAAGCCAAAATTGACGAACGGGATCTAATTAAACTAAAGAGCTTCTGCACAGCAAAAGAAACTACCATCAGAATGAACAGGCAACCTACAAAATGGGAGAAAATTTTCGCAACCTACTCATCTGACAAAGGGCTAATATCCAGAATCTACAATGAACTCAAACAAATTTACAAGAAAAAAACAAACAACCCCATCAAAAAGTGGGCGAAGGACATGAACAGACACTTCTCAAAAGAAGACATTTGTGCAGCCAAAAAACACATGAAAAAATGCTCGTCATCACTGGCCATCAGAGAAATGCAAATGAAAACCACAATGCGATACCATCTCACACCAGTTAGAATGGCCATCATTAAAAAGTCAGGAAACAACAGGTGCTGGAGAGGATGTGGAGAAATAGGAACACTTTTACACTGCTGGTGGGACTGTAAACTAGTTCAACCATTGTGGAAGTCAGTGTGGCAATTCCTCAGGGATCTAGAACTAGAAATACCATTTGACCCAGCCATCCCATTACTGAGTATATACCCAAAGGACTATAAATCATGCTGCTATAAAGACACATGCACACGTATGTTTATTGTGGTACTATTCACAATAGCAAAGACTTGGAACCAACCCAAATGTCCAACAACGATAGACTGGATTAAGAAAATGTGGCACATATACACCACGGAATACTATGCAGCCATAAAAAATGGTGAGTTCATGTCCTTTGTAGGGACATGGATGAAATTGGAAATCATCATTCTCAGTAAACTATCGCAAGGACAAAAAACCAAACACCACATGTTCTCACTCATAGGTGGGAATTGAACAATGAGAACGCATGGACACAGGAAGGGGAACATCACACTCCGGGGACTGTTGTGGGGTGGGGGGAGGGGGGAGGGACAGCATTAGGAGATACACCTAATGCTAAATGATGAGTTAATGGGTGCAGCACACCAACATGGCACATGGATACATATGTAACAAACCTGCACATTGTGCACATGTACCATAAAACTTAAAGTACAATAAAAAAAAAACGAAAGGATTATGGAAGTGTCATGGTTACCTATGCGTTTAATGGCTTAAAATTAGAATAATTAGAATCTAGAGAATCAAGTGCGCAATTTATAACATTATTTTAAAGAATGACTTAAGTGCTGATATGAAAACTTGTTTCAGGGGATTCCTGGAGTCTAGTTTGCTGGTCACTGTTCTCACACTGTTTTTTTTTTGTTTTGTTTTGTTTTTGTTTTTTGTTTTTTTCCTGATGGCATGCTCCTGAAGGTTCTTATGCAGATATGTGGTAGTCTCATTTTCAATAAATACCTAGAAAGTGTAGTTGTGGTCACACCAGAACACGTATCTTAGGCATTCAGATTCAAGAATTAGGCCTTGTCTGATTACATGGCCTTATAAGATATTAACAAATGATGGATGTTCACTTAGAAACACTCAACTGAGTGAATTATCATATATATGAAGAAAAATATAAACCGAAAAGTGTTAAACCTGTCTGCTGATCACACACAAATAGATACATCAGTGAGCAATGCAGTTTAGATTTAAAACTATAGAATTTAATAGCTTTTCAAAATGTAAATACACCTATAGGTATCAAGTTTTTGTTTTTGTTATTATTGTTATTGGTCTCATATTTTTTTATAAAATTGCCCTCAGTGGATAATGGAGTTAGTGGCTCATTTCAAACAATACTTTTGGAATCTGTAATTATATCTAAAACCTATCAATTTTTTCATTATATTCTATAAAATATTCGTGATCAATTTACTATAAATCTATCTTAATGTCTTAAAATTATACAACTGTTGCTTCATGAAGATGTTGTTGATTTATACTCTTGCTATAAGCAACTAGCACACTTCTCCTCTGAAGATACATGTACTCATTTATCAAAAAACAAAGGAGCAGTACATCTGTTAGCATCCAGGAAAATCCAGAATACCGTCGTGACCAAATGCTGGAGTGGAGCTTTCATTTGTTGCTGGCGGAAATGCAAAATGGTACAGCTTCTTTAGAAGAGAGTTTGGCAGTTTCTTACAAAACTAAACATACTCTTACCATACTAACCAGTAATCACATTCCTTGGTATTTACCCAAAGAAATGGAAAATATTTGTTCACACAAAAGCCTGCGTGTGAATGCTTAAAGCACCTTTATTGCTAATTGCCCAAACTTGGAAAGCAACCAAGATATCCATCCTTCAGAAGGTGAAAGGATAAATAGCCTGCATTACATCCAAACAATAGAATGTTATTCAGCACTAAAAAGAAATGAGCTATCAAGCTATGAAAAAACATGTCAGAATCTTAAGTGCATGTTCCTTAGTCGCAGAAGCCGATCTGTAAATTTCCAATGATACAACATTCCGGAAAAGGCAAAATTATGAAAACAGTAAAAAGATCAGTGGTTGCCAGGAGTTGGGGGTGAAGAGGTTGAATACATAGAGCAGAGACTATTTTTAGAGCAGGGAAAATACTCTGCATGGTACCTTAATGGTGGCACATATCATTATAAATTTTTCCAACTTATGTAATGTACAGCAGTGAGGGTAAACCCTAATGTAAACTATGGAGTTTGGTGATTATGATATGTCAATGTAGGTTCATCATTTGTAACAACTGTCCCATGCTGGTAGGGGATATTGATAATGAAAGGCTCTGCATGTGAGGGGGCAGAGGACTTATGGGAAATCCCTGTTACATCCTTTCAGTTTTGCTATGAACCGAAAACTGCTCTAAAGTAATTAAGTCCTTAAAAATAAACAAACAAATAAGTGAGGGATTAGACCAATGATGATCATGGCAGAGATAATGCAGATAGCCAATCTTAAAATAATCAGAAAGCTGCAGTGCCCACAACCTCTCCTGACTTTAATGAATTAAGTAGATATCCAGGGATTTTCAATGGAGAGTGGAAGATAAAGCTATAGGAAAAAAAAGACAAAGACACAGTGGTTAAATGCTGAACCTTGGCCAAATGCTCTGGTGTGAAAAATAAGACTTTGAAAGACTCTAGAATAAGAGCTAGCTATCCCAAGTGACAGAGCATGAGAGAGGTCATAGGAACCATAGACAGAACACAGAAAAACAGTGTCACTCAGCATAGACCTATCTCTACGGCCACTATGGGTAACAATCATTGTTTATTTCTTAATGTGGAGGAACCAGGAATTGTGATCAGAACTCATTTTGATCACTTAAGTCATTCAATTTATGGAAAGAATATGTATGTATTAAACTATGTATCTCTAGTTCCAGAGAGTGAATTCAGTTATTCCCCAAAATCCTTTTGTTGTTTTAATGAAATCCTGAGTCAAAGAGCCCCTGCTGCTCTTTAGTAGACAGATAACTCAGGTTTATGAAGTCTACCTGTGTGGTACCCACAGTAGGCAAATGAGAAAAGTAGCCCAATTCAGAAAACCATCTTAACTGGGGCTTAACTCCGGCTGAGTGTTACATATATCTCATTATTGAGAGATATTTCCCTTTTAGATGACTTTTTCATTTCTTTTTAAAAGAAAGAATGGATCCGTATGTGGTCAATTCACTTTTCAACAATTCTTTCTCTACTGACAGGCTGAAGTGATTTCACATTAAGAGAAAATGAGTTTTGCTGCTTTTCATAAATTGGTAATGAGCTTTTTGAACAATCATAGCCATAACCTGATTCACAAAAGAACCTTCTCAGATTTGCCACTAACATGTCTGTAACAATAAGCTGAGAAAAAAATACCAAATAAGTTGATGCCACTTGCTGAGAACTATTTTCCTGTCTTCATTTCAGCCCTTTAGATTATTTCTCCCTGTGACGCTATCAAGCAGCCTGGGTTCAGTTTGACAGTTAAGCATTGAGATATCTCTATCACTACCCTGTCTCACTTTGCAAAAGGAAGAGAACTTCAATGCTGTGCAGCAGGAAGGATGCCAGGAAAATTAGATTTTATTTTCAGCTCTGCTTCTCACCAGCTTGTGTGATATTGGGAAATTTATTCTTCTGCTCTGGATCAGTTTTCAATATTTCAAATATGCGTGGACCTGTTTCCAAAGAGCTAAAAGACCTCCAGAGGTCCTCTCATTATTAAGATATGATGATGCTAATAAAAGCGTAACATCCGAAATGCTACCTATTACTTCTGTGGAATGATTTCTCCCTGGATGCCTTCTTGTTGCTTACTTTCATTTCCTTCAGAGAAACCAACAACCCATAGAATGTTGCCTTTACAGTACTAGAATGGATTGAGGGCATATCGAGAAAAAAAAATTCCAGCAATTCCTCTTTTAGCTCATCTCACTTCTCACATTCTTTATTGTAGGCAATTAAAGGAACCACTTGGTGCATTCACCACTCTGCACGGAAATTTTATTAGCCAGATTTGCAAGTTTATTAGCCACATTTGCTATCTTCCACATAAGAAGGTGGCAGCTTCACTGATTTTTGTGCCAATATCATTAAGGTCCATTTGTTTTTTGCTCTTTCTAACAGTTTCCTCAAGGTTTTTAGTCCATAACTTCCACCTGATCATAAAGCCAGTGCTGCATATTTTGATATTTTGTTGCTGAAGCACCCCTCTTCTGGTGTCATTCTATCTTTTGTTAATCTTCTTCCATGGAGCAAACTACCTTTCAAATATTGTGGCTTAAAACAGCAATCACTTGTTATTTCTCATGATTCTGAGGGTCAGGATTTTACAGAGGCAGTGGGCTTATCTACGCTCGCTTCAGTGCCTGCTGTCACTGGAAAGGCTGCAACAGCTTCGTTAGCTTTTTGGTGCCTCAGCAAGGGAGATTTGGGCGGTGGAGGGCTGGCTAGAAGAGCTAGATTCGAGGAATGTCTGGATTCTTCAGTTCTCAAGGTTCTCTCTCCACATGACCTCTTCATATTTTCTCTTTACACAGTTTCATCTAGAATTCTCATGTGAAACTTTAGGACTTCTAAGAGTTCGTAAGTAGAAGTTTTATACTTTGTTAAAGCCTAGGCTAGGATTGCACAGCAATATTTTTGCTATATTCTATTCTAAAGTCTTTGAGTTATAAGCTAAGCTTGGATTCAGGAGGAAATAACTACAAAAAGGCATAAACACTGAAGCATAACCCATGGGTCCTACTAGTGTTAACTAACTACCACGATGACAGAGGAAAAAGTAACACAAGAAAAGAATTACTTTTTAAAAAGTTAGGAAAATGGACAAACACCCCGGAAGTTGAATTTGCGTACTTTTTAATGTATTTATTTTTATTTATTTTTTCAAGATGGAGTCTCACTTTTTCACCTAGGCTGGGGTGCAGTGGCACGATCTTGGCTCACTGCAACCTCTGCCTCCAGATTCAAGTGATTCTCATGAGTAGCTGGGATTACAGGCATGTGCCACCACTCCCAGAATCCCAGCTTCTTGGGAGGCTGAGGCAGGAGAATTGCTTGAACCTGGGAGGCAGAGGTTCCAGTGAGCTGAGATCATGCCACTGTACTCTAGCTACAGCTTGGGCAACAGAGTGAGTGAGACTCTGCCAAAAAAAAAAAAAAAAACACACAAACATATGTATAAATGAAATCATAAGATTCATGGGATTTAATTCAAAATAATATGGACAATGCAGTTTCAAAATGGGTGGGAGTATAGATAAAATAACAAGATTGATCATGACTTGATAATTATTATAGTAGATTCCTGGATATATACAAAATTACCATTTTTTTATGTTTGAAAGGACTATAAATCATGCTGCTATAAAGACACATGCACACGTATGTTTATTGCGGCATTATTCACAATAGCAAAGACTTGGAACCAACCCAAATGTCCAACAATGATAGACTGGATTAAGAAAATGTGGCACATATACACCATGGAATACTATGCAGCCATAAAAAATGATGAGTTCATGTCCTTTGTAGGGACATGGATGAAATTGGAAAACATCATTCTCAGTAAACTATCACAAGAACAAAAAACCAAACACCGCATATTCTCACTCATAGGTGGGAACTGAACAATGAGATCACATGGACACAGGAAGGGGAATATCACACTCTGGGGACTGTGGTGGGGTGGGGGGAGGGGGGAGGGATAGCATTGGGAGATATACCTAATGCTAGATGACGAGTTAGTGGGTGCAGGGCACCAGCATGGCACATGTATACATATGTAACCTGCACAATGTGCACATGTACCCTAAAACTTAAAGTATAATAAAAAAAAAAAGAAAAAGTAAAATCAAATAAAGAAATACATTCTAATATCACTAATGAAAACTGGATAATTACTATAGGTCTTTCTTACAAATTAAAGAGAAGAAGATTAAAAATATTTCAGGCCAATATATTTGATACTTTATATGACATATGCATATATCACAAAAGAAAAACTTGTTGAAACAGACTCAAGAAGAAATAGAAAGCCTAAATAGTCCTATATATATGTAAAACAATGAATTCATTAATACCCTCAACACAATTTGAGGTACACAGGATGTGCCCTATGAATTATTTCTAATTTTTAGAAAATAAATAGCACTGATATTACAAAAAGTATTTTAGGGAACATAAAAAGCATGAGAACACTTCACATGTCCTGTTTTAAAGCTATCATATTCTTTATAGTAAACTTTGGCAAGAACATCAGTAGAAAAAAAATCACAGAATAATGTATTACCAACACTGATGAAATCATTTTACAACTGACCCTTGAACAATGTGAAGGTTAGGGATGCTGACCTATCCATGCAATTGAAAATTTGTGCGTAACTTTTGACTCCCCCAAAATGTAACTACTCATAGCATACTGTTGACTAGAAGCCTTACTGATAATATAAACAGTTGATTAACACATATTTTGTATGTTGTATGTATTATATACTGTATTCTTACAATAAATCAAGCTAGAGAAAAGAAAATTTTATTAAAAAAATAAGGAACATAAAATATATTTATTATTAATCAAGTGGAAGTGGAATCGTTTGAAAGGTCTTTATCCTCATTGTCTTCATATTGACTAGGCTGAGGAGGAAAAGGCAGAGGAGGGTTTGGTTTTGCTGTCTCAGGTGTGGCAGTGGCAAAAAGAAAATCTGTATATAAGTGGACCCATGCAGCTCAAACCTATGTTGTTAAAGGGTCAACTGTATTCATATATTTATGAAAACTGATAATATATCACAAAGCCAATTAAGGTTTATTACAGGAATGTGAGAGCAGCTTAATATTTTTCAATCAATGAATAGAATTTATTACATATTAATAAAAAGAAAACATATTATTGATATATTTAGGAAGAATATTTGATAAAATTAAGCAACCATCAATATGTTTCATGATAATATGTAAGTAGATGGAAATTTATACAATATGACGAAGAATATTAACCAAAAACATACTGTAAATTTTATAGTTACAGTGAATTGTTGAATGTATTTCCTTTGGCATCAGAAATGCCATGTGTCCCTGATCTTACAAATTCTATTAATGATATTACAAGTTCTACTTAGTGTAGTAATAAAAGAAAAAGAAATAAAGACCACAAGATTACAAAGGAAGAAATAACTCTCATTATTCAGAGATCATACAATTACATATATAGAAAATCCAAAAGCATCCATTGGCAAACTATAGGAATCAATAAATAAATTTAGCATGTTGGTTGTATAAAAGTCAATATATAGATTAATTTTTCTTATATGCAATAAAAATTAGAAAATAAAAGTTTAAAATATTCATAATAAAATTAAGAATATCAAATAACTGAGAATAATTATAATAAATTATATTTAAATTGACACCAAATGCTGCAAAACTGTGCTGTAAGAAATAGCAGAATATATTTTTGTGTATATACATACACGACATACATATGTACAACAAACCTGTACAAGTACAGGTATACAATGTGATTTTATGAAAATACATAACATTATACAAATCACAATTCTTTCTAAATATTTAGATCCAATGTGATATCGATCAAAACTAGGTACAATTTTCTGTTGTTTTGTTGAGGTTGGCAAATTCTTTCCAATATTAGTTTAGAAATATGAAGGGTCTTACATAGCCAAACAATGTTAAGAGGAAAAAGAAAGCTAAATGACTCATTCCAATTTATATCAAGATTTATTGCAACGCTCTAGTAATTAGCACAGTGTAAAATTGGTAAAAGTATAGACAAGCTGATCAAAAAAATGTAAAGTACAATAAGAGAAAAATGGCCTTTTCAATAATTGCTGCTGGGCCACTTATATGTTTATTGATATTTTCAAAAAAGAATCTATTAATAGATTCCTATATTATACTATATACAAAATAAATACAAATTGAGTGGAAATATAAATGTACAAATTAACACTGCTAGAAGACAGTACAGAAAAATATCTTTATGAATTTGGGCTAGCAAAAAAATTTAACACCGAAAAGGATTAATCACAATGAAAAGAGATGAAAAATTTTATTATAATACAACTAAGAATTTCAAAAGTCACCATTAAGAGAATAAGAAATTAAGCCACAAAAGCCTCTTATCCAACATATATAAACAAATTAGCATTTCACATTTGAAAAGTGAGACAAATGCTAGAACATGCACTTTATAAAATAGGACATCCAAATGTCCAATAAACATATGAAAGGGTACTGACCTTCACAGTAAATATAATTGTACATTTAAATACAAATTATAACCAAAGTATAAAACCCTTACATAACAGAAAAATAGAAGCACAGAGAACACTACATCTTTATGAGAATGTGGAATAATTGAAACACTCATAATTACCGCTGGCTTCAACAAATGATGCTACAGTAACTGAATTTCCACATGCAGAAAAAAAAAGTTAAGCTGTATTAAAAAATGAACTCAAAATGGGTCAAGGACTTAAATATAAGAGACAAAATCATAAAATTCTTAAAGGAAATCATGCAGATAAATATTCTTAACCTTAGATTTGTCAAGGAAATCTTAGATATGACACCAAAAGTACAAGAAACAAAAGAATTAACAAATTATTTAACAAAATTAGAATCTTTTGTGCAACAAAGGACATTATCAAGAAAGTGAAAAGACTACCTACAAGATGGGAGAAAATATTTGAAAATCATATATCTGATAAATATTCAATATCCAGAATATATAAAGAATTACAATTCAACAACAAAGGGACAATCCAATAAAATTTTTGTAATTGGCTTAAGTTTACATTTCTTCAAATAATATTTATAAATGCGCAATAAGCATATGAAAAGATGCTCAACATCATTAATCATTTGGGAAATGGAAATCATAATCAATGAGATATTACTTCATGCCTACTAATATGGTTATAATAAAAAATATTTAATTAATTAAGAAACTAACAAATTTCCAGGATGTGCCGAAATTAGAACACTCATAAATTTCAGATGGAAGTGTAAATAGTGCAGTTGCTGTGAAAAATAGCTTGATGGTGTCTCAAAAAGCTAAATACCTCTACACAATTACCATAGAACTTGGTAATTCCACTTTCAGATATATACCCAGGGACTCAGATACTTTTATACCAATGTTCATTGCAGCATTATTTACAATAGCCAAAAGATTGAAATAACCCAAATGTCCGTCAACAGAAGAATGTATAAAGAAAATGTGGTATATGAATGCAATGGAATATTATTCAGTCCGAGAAAGAAATGATGTTCTGATACATGCTACCGCATGAATGAACCTTGAAAATACTGTGCTAAGTGATTTAAGTTGCCTGGGAAAATATTACATGATACCACTTACATGAATTATCCAGACAAGGCAAATTCATTGAAAAAGAATGTACAAGAGATTACCAGGGGAAAGGCAGAAATGGAAAGATATTGCTTAATGGGTACAGTGTTTCTGTTTAGGTGAGGAAATTTTTGGAAAAAGATAGTAGTAATGGTTGCACAACATTATGTTGTAATTGATGCCAATAAATTGTACACATAAAAATAGTTGAATATAACAAATTTTATATTAAGTATATTTTACCACAATTAAAAAAATTAAATCTGCCGAGAGTTTCATTAAAAAAAAACCACATTGGAACACTTTTTGATAGTATCTATTGAACATATTTATACCATATGTCTCATATTTGCAATCATACCAAACATAAATGTGTACATACCTTCAACAAAGGACATTTTCTAGAATTATCACTTACGCTCTGTATGCAATAAAATGAGTTTATGAATTGTGGTATATTTGTATTCTGTGGAACTGAAAACAAACAAAATACAACTATGCACATAAATTTGTATAAAATTCACAAAGATTTTGATGAAATAAGCCAGAGGCAAAAAACATGCATATCTTATAATTCCAGTAATATAATATCAAGGACAAGCAAAATCTATCTATCGTTTCAGGTAAGAATGTGGTTGTCATCGGAGTTAATTGCCTAAAAGGATCATGGGGTCGGGCAGATTGTGATTTACTGTGATTCTATGTCCTGGTGTTTGAGAATTTTTCCAAATTCTTTTTATGCTTCAATAAAAAAAGTTACAAAGATAAAGAACTAAAAACTAAAAGTACATTGTAAGTGACCAAAACTATTTGTCTCATTCTTTTAAATGTTACACTAGAGAGGCAAATGTGATTACATTGGTAAGTAGCAACTATATAAATTACTGACAGATTCCTTGGTAATATTATAGTCAACTAATTGCAAACCTAGTATAAAGTTTTTTTTTTTTTAAATGCTGACAAGAGAGAAATGGGATTATGGAGTAACTAGTAAATAGCTGAGCTTATGGGGAGGCTGAAAGGCATGAATGTCTTTGGCTAATAACCGACTGATGGGCACCAGGTCCATGATGAAGCTGCTACCTCCTCAGCACAAAATAATGCACATTTCACAAAACCCTCTCTTGGAGTTTAATCCCCAAGTCATGGACAGTGTAGTATCCTATTCACTGTATAATCATTTACAAAAGATTTTTCTATCTAATAATATCCAGAAGTGCTCTGGGTCTTTAGGAAGGCCCCGTCACAATGTCAAAATTTTAATTCTTCCCATAATAAAAAAACTCATTAATATTAGGGCAGTAAGAATGCCAAGTAGAAATTGTACATCTTTCTGAGCACAGTGGCTTATGCCTGTAATCCCAGCACTTTGTGGGGCCCAGGTGAGCAGATCACTTGAATTGAAGAGTTCAAGACCAGCCTGTACAACATAGCAAGACCCCATCTCTACTGAAAGTACAAAAATTTGCTGGGCATATTACATGTGCCTGTAGCTCCAGCTACTTGGCAGGCTGAGGATCGCTTGAGCCTGACAGGTCGAGGCTGCTGTGAGCCGTGATTGTGCCACTGCACTCAGCCTGGGTGACAGAGTGAGATCCTGTCTTAAGAAAAAAAAAAAAAATCTTGTTATCATGATGCTAGTTGGTTATTTTGCAGATTTGTTTATGTAGTTGCTTCATAGTGTCACTGGTCTGTGTACTTCAGTGTGTTTTTGTAGTGACTGGTAACAGTTTTTCCTGTCCATATTTAGTGCTTCCTTCAGGAGCTCTGATAAGGCAGGTCTGGTGGTAATAAATTCCTTCAGCATTTGCTTGTCTGAAAAGGATCTTATTTCTCCTTTGCTTATGAAGCTTAGTTTGGCCATATGTGAAATTCTAGGTTGAAAATTCTTTCTTTAAGAATGTTGAATATTGGCCCCCCTATCTCTTCTAGTTTATAGGGTTTCCCCCGAGAGGTCCTCTGTAGTCTGATGGGTTTTCATTTGTAGGTGACCTGGCCTTTCTCTCTGGCTGCCATTTTTTCTTTCATGTCGACCTTGGAGAATCTGATGATTATGTATCTTGGGGATGATCTTCTCATGGAGCATCTTACTGGGGTTTGTTGCATTTTCTGAAGTTGAATGTTGGCTTGTCTTGCTAGGTGGGGAAGATGTCCTTGATGGTATCCTGAAGTACATTTTCCAAATCGCTTCCATTCTCCCTGTCTCGTTCAAGTACCGCAATTAGTTGTAGATTCCATCTCTTTACATAATCCCATATTTTCCAAACGTTTTGTTCATTCCGTTTTATTCTTATCTCTCTATTCTTGTCTGCCTGTCTTATTTCAGACAGAGAGTCTTCAACCTCTAATATTCTTGGTCTAGTCTGCTATTAATACTGTGATTGCACTATGAAGTTCTTGTAGTGTGTCTTTCAGCTCTGTCAGGTTGGTCATGTTCCTCTGTATTGCACCTATTTTGGCTTTCAGTTCCTCCATTGTTTTATCATGATTCTTAGCTTTTTTGCACTGGGTTACAACAGATACCTTTAGCTCAGCAAAGTTTGTTTTTATCCACATTCTGAAGCCTGCTTCTGTCATTTCAGCCATCTCAGCCTCAGTCCAGTTCTGAGCCCTTGCTGGAAAGGTGTTGTGGTCATTTGGAGGAAAGGAGCCACTCTGGCTTTAAAGGTCAACATTGCTAATCATTAGAGAAATGCATATCAAAACCATAATAAAATACCATCTCATACCAGTCACAATGGCGATTATTGAAAAGTCAAGAAACAACATATGCTGCCGTGGTCTGAAGAAAAAGGAATGCTTTTACACTGTTTATGGGAGTGTAAATTAGTTCAACCATTGTGGAAGACAATATAGTGATTCCTCAAAGACCTAGAAGCAGAAATGCCGTTCAATCAAGCAGTCTCATTACTGGGTATATACCCAAAAGAATATAAGTTATTCTTACATTCTTATTCAAATGCCCATCAATAATAGACTGGATAAAGAAAATATGGTACATATACACCACAGAATACTATGCAGCAATGAAAAGGAATGGGATTGTGTCCTTTGCAGAAACATGGATGGAGCTGGAGGCCATTATCCTTAGCAAACTAATTCAGGAACAGAAAACAAAATAAGTGTTCTCACTTATAAGTGGGAGCTGAATGATGAGAACACATGGACACATGATAAGAAAAAACACAAACTAGGGCTTGTCAGAGGATGGGGCTGGGAGGAGGAGGAGCATCAGGAGGAATAGCTAATGCATGCTGGGCTTAATACCTGGTTGATGGGATGATCTGTGCAGCAAACCACCATGGCACATGTTTATCTATGTAATAAACATGCACATCCTGCACATGTATCCCTGAACTTAAAATAAACATTGGAAAGAAAAAAGAGAAAAAAAAGAGAAATTATACATCTTCATAATTGAGATAGAAAGTAAATTATCATTAATCAATGCACCTTAATACAAAAATACTGAATTATAAATAAGAAAAATATACTTACAAAAATTTGTTATAATAATATAGAAAATGTCTTATTTACAGTATTCACTGTAAATAAAGCTGGAGTTTCTTTCAGATTCAGTACTTAAGCTCCTTGATAACTACTTCATCTGCACCTGCAATTTACTGTAACTAACTTGCCTTGTGATATAAAATATGTTTGCTCTTATTTTATCATATATACATATTTTTTGAGTTGGAGTCTCGCTTTGCTGCCCAGGCTGGAGTGCAGTGGTGAGATCTCGGCTCACTGCAACGTCTGCTTCCTGGGTTCAAGTGATTTTCCTGCCTCAGCCTCCCAAGTAGCTGGAATTACAGCTGCATACCACAACACCTGGCTAATTTTTGTATTTTTTTAAATAGAGATGGGGTTTCACCATGTTGGCCAGGTTAGTCTCAAACTCCAGACCTCAAGTGGTCCACCCGCTTTGGCCTCCCAAAGTGCTGAGAATACAGGCGTGAGCCATTGCACCTGGCCTATTTTACTATAATTGTCCTGCCATTTTAGGAACAACTTTACATTCTGACTTGCCCTTGATTTGTGTGTTTTTCTCTCTAATATATTTCAGCTCAATTAAGAAAGTACCCTCTAAGCTAAATATCAACAGGGCTGTCATTAGAGGTGACTAGAAGAGCAAACAAATTAGGACTCAGAGTTTTTGGACAATAGAGAATAAATGTCCCTTGAGCAAGTAATTCCTTAATACTTAACAAAATTTGTTTACCCTAGAAGACACATAAAAAAAATGACAAGTTGATGGCTGAACTAAGTTTCTTGGTCTACGAAAGTGAGTGTTCTAGCTGAGTGGTGAAAGAATTTGTGGAAATATAAAAAGGAGGAAGGAAATTCCAGGGTTGTGGAAACAATTGTCAGGGAAAGTAGAGCGATATCAATCCCTGAAAATAGTAGTGAATATGGATTTCTTATTTTAGTCTGTTGAAAAGTGAATGGGAATTGAATAAGATGACGATAATGTATGTATCATTCCTTCGAGAATCAGCTTCTGATGAAAATAGAAGAGAAGGTATTTAGCATATTAAGGGGTATTTATATTGAGAGACAATAAAGGAAGTAAGGAAAACACTAAATATTCTAGCAGACACATTGGAAAGCACTGTAAAAGGATAAATTGATGGAATAGTCTAAACAATTGTAAATAATAAGACTCAGCTAACTAATTGTTATTTTCAAATAGGAGGTCATTTATAGTTATTTACTACTCAAAAGGGTCTGGACTTTGAAACAAGACTGTTAAGAGCATCTTTTGTACACCTACTATTGTCTCTCTCTGTACCTTTTATTATTCCATAGAGACACATTTATGAACAACTTATTGCACTAAATTTACCATATCTCAGGCTTATTACTGGTAGTGTTGTATGCATATCTCATTATATTATTTCTTGTAACTTAAAAGAATGTAGATTCATGATTCCGTCTGTCTGAGACATTAGATTTTTAATTGAAAATGATCCATCATTATCTTCAGTGCTATATGAAAAAAATGTATTGACAAGAGCTATTTGCATGAGAACATCCTAGGTGCTTGAAAGTAAAAGTCAGTGAGATCACTCTAAGTTAATTTAAATGTTTTCTCATCTCCTTCACACACTGCAAATATCTATATAAATATAATTGCTAACCATTTTTTATATTGAAGTTTGAAAACGTAGAGCAGCATCAGAAAGATGTAGAATAGATGGAACAGGTTTGGTTATCACCTCTGCAGTATATGAGCTCTTTAACTGAGGGAAATGTAACCAACCTTTTTGAGCCTATTTTTTCACATGTAAAATGGGTTTATAAATATTTTCTTGCAAGTATTTTTTGTGAAGTAGAGAGTACATACATGTAATATACACAGTATGTGTGTGTATTTGTGTATATGCATATGTAATGCTTAGCCTGGCAAAAATTGGTGTTCAATAAAGCAGTTCTCATGATTTTTGTTAACCTGAGAAAAGGTAAAAAACAGTATTTCAAATCATAAATGATTCAATGAATTACTCCATCTTTGAGGTAAAATTTGGCAGATGTCTCAATTTGTATTTCAACTTATATGAAATAATATACTTTGAATTCCTAACAAATTATTTTGAAATGCAAATCGCAATTGTTAGCTGACTCCAAATCTAATTTTAAATTTATTTTGCTAAGGTAATTCGACTGCAGATCAATTGTTTTCTTCTAAAGATAACCAAAATATATTTTTCTCAGAAAGTCACAAATGATTCATTTTACTCTTGCATAATTTTTTCAGTTGTAATGATGCTGCTTTATTAATAAGATATGATTATTTGATAGAGTATCAATTTACTATTAAAGCATTGGGAAATTTGACTTAATTTATAGTTTAGTAGCTCTTTGAATGTTGGCTTCCCAGACACTGTCTTCCTAATCATTGTCTTATTTGACTCTTACTCATCTAGTGCTAGACTAACTTTTTCACACTGTAATGTAAGTAGAAAAAGAAACACTTTAGTATTTGTGGCCACTTATGTCCTACCCATATTTTATGTCTAAAAAATATCCATACCTCTTTATTTTCATATTGGGATACAATTATCTCCATATGTCATTTTCTCAAGTAATGGTAGGGATATATTAATATACTTTTAAACTATTAAATGATAAATATTGTATTATTTCTTTAGAAAATAAATATAAAAAGTCATCTGACTTGAAAACACTCATTTAGATCAAGAACACTTTCATCTCTGTACAGGCAATGGCAGAACTGCTATTCCTTACATGCATAAGTTAAACCATAGAGGAGATATAGTCAATACAAATAGGAAAGCAAGATTTGTGTGATCAAGTGGAATTAAGATTGCAGCTAAAGATGGTAAAGTTATGTTTCACGTAGCATCTTCCTCCAAGAACTCATAACTTGAAAAACTAATCTTTGATGGAGAGTGAGAACCAAAAAAGCACACCAGAAGCAATCAACAAAAAAGGCAATCACCTGCATAGGCAGAAATATCCAGGTGTTCCCAAGATTTAGATTTTTGCAAACACATGTGGCACTTAGCTAAACCCTGAAGAGAAGTGCTAAAAAGAGGCAAAGGGAGAAAAGAGTGAGTGAGGGCAAGTGGAAGTGATAAAAGTGTTCACAAGTAAAAGACAAGCTCCAACTTAGAAAGAAAATTAAGAGTGGATACAAATGAGTAATGATATCACACTCTGGGGTGTAGAGAAAAAACTTTCCATTCTAGTGAAATTCCCCTCAATAAAAATCTATATAACATCAGATACAGAAATCATTACTGGGGTTAGCTATTTTTGTGAAAATTTGAATTTAGTTTTTGGTTTTCAGTAAGATGACATTTAGCCAAGCAAATACTAAAGAGATAACTTAAAAAGAGAAATATCTATTAGAAAGCAAGCTTCATATAATTTAAAAAAAAGGAGGACACCAACATAAAAATTTAGCCATGAGTAGTAAATTAATATTGTTTTTTTCTGGTAAACTGAAATAAAATGAACATCATAATGAAAAAGGTATTGTATATGTCTCATAAAGAAGATAGAGTTGAACTACAAAACTATGGGTATAAAAGATTTTTACTTCACATTAAATCTTGGAGGAAAAGGAGAAAAGGAGGAAGAAGAGTTGACTGGTAAAGTTCATTATAGCTAATAGTAGGGAACCGATACACCGTATCCAAATTTGGGGGACAGAGATGAGAACATTACATACAAAAGTAAGTATAAAAATTTGAGCATTTGAACGAAAGTATAAAACTTAAATAATAAAAAGTGATAGAAAAAAATAAAATAGAAATGAAACGACCACAAGAGAACTGAAGCCAAACGTATTGATAATATTTAAAAAGTTAGAGAGGCTTACTCACCCTATCCAGAACACTCGAGACAAACCTAAAACAATGAAATCCAGAAAGCCTAAACATAAAAACGTGACAATGATGAACTATGGAGAAGTAGGAAGAGAGTGAAGAATAAAATATTAGTGTCTAGCATGATTACTTTCAGAATAAAATCATAATAGATTCTAGTTCACTTTATAATATTAAAAGTTTTAATACTCAAAGAAAACACCAGA
Organism: Homo sapiens; assembly: GCF_000001405.40. Lineage (NCBI taxonomy): Eukaryota > Metazoa > Chordata > Mammalia > Primates > Hominidae > Homo > Homo sapiens. The sequence goes on along the minus strand of NC_000015.10, from coordinate 20,395,218 downwards.
TATTAATGTCTATAGCCTCAATAATGCAGCAAAAATCTTCATGAGGAAGAAAATACAGAGCTTCAAGAAAAAATAAAAATAAGTTTGTAAGAGAAAATAAAACTAAAAAATGCTTTAGAGAAAAATACACTAAAATGAAGAATCTAAAACACAGATTCTCAATCCAGGACAAATAAAATCAACAAAAATTAGTAAAGATATAGAAAATGAAAAGAGCATGATTAAGAAGGTAATAAACACACACACAGTCTTTTCAAATAAAAATAGAATATTCATAAAATTTGTTGTAGTTGACTACAAGGAAAAACTTGACACATTACAAGAAAATGAATAATACAAATGTATTAATCAGAAATCACATATAAGTAGAAATTAATGACAAAATTTAAAAAATACTTTACATTTAATAGTATTAAAATATTTTAAATACTGTGATCAAACAGGAAATATAAAAGAAACATATACAATCTCAAAAAATACAATAAAACCTATTGTCTAGATTTATCATATATTGGAGGAATTTTTTATCATTAAAATCAGTATCAACTTCAGCTGATAAACAACTTCAGCAATGTTGCAGGCTATAAAATCAATGTACAAAAAGCACTAGCATTTGTATACACCAACAACAACTAAACTGAGAGCTAAATCAAAAAGGAAATCCCATTCACAATTGCCACACACACACACACACACACACACACACACACACACTACCCAGGAATACAGCTAACCAGGAAGGTGAAAGATCTCTACAATGAGAATTACAAAACACTGCTCAAAGAAATCAGAGAAGACACAAACAAATGGAAAAACATCCCATGCTCATTAATAGGAAAAATCAATGTCATTAAAATGGCTATACTGCCCAAAGTGATTTACAGTTTCAATGCTATTCCTATCAAACCGCCAATGATATTCTTCACAGAACTAGAAAAAATATTTTAAAATTTATATGGAACCAAAAAAGAGCCCAAATACCCATGGCATTGGTTTAGGCAGTGATTTATTCGATATGACCACAAAGGCACAGGCAACAAAAACAAAAATAGACAAATGGGATTACATCAAACTAAACAGCATCAGCACAGCAAAGGAAAAAAATCAGTAGAATGAAGAGACAACCCATAGATTGGGAAAAAAAAATTACATATAACCCATCTCATGAGGAGTTAATATCTAAAATATATAAGAGACTCAAATTACTCAATAACAAGAAAGCAAATAACCCTATTTAAAAATAAACAAAGTACATGAATAGACAGTTCTCAAGAAAAGACATACAAATGGCAAATAGATATATAAAAAATGCTTAAGTACAAAAATTATCAGGGAAATGCAATTTATAAAAACAATAATGACACCTGTTAGAATGCCTATTACCAAAAAGATGAAAGATGGCAAGTGTTGGCAAGGATGTGAAGCAAAGGGAACCCTTGCACTCTGTTGATGAGAATATAAGTCATTACAGCCATTTTGGAAAACATTATGAAGATTTCTCAAACAAATAGAAATGAATTACCATATAATCCAGCAATCCCACTTCTGGGTATATATCCCAACAAAATGAAATCAGTATGCTGAAGAGTTATGTGCACTCCCATGTCCATTGCAGCATTATTCACAATAGCCAAGATACAGAAACAACCTAAGTGTTCAATATGGATGAAGGGGTAAATACACACACACACACACACACACACAATGGAACATTATTCAGCCCAAAAAGGACAGGAAATTCTGTCATTTGCATCAACATAAATGAATCTAGAGGACATTACACTAAGTAAAATAAGACAGGCACAGAAAGACAAATACCACATGGTCTCACTTGTATCTGGAATATAAAAAAGTTGAACTCATAGAAGTTGAGAGTAGAATGATGGTTACCAGGGGTGGGGGGAGTGGGGTGAAAAGCAAAGGGGAGACATTGGTAAATGGGTGCAAAGTTTTAGTTAGACTGGAGGAATAAGTACTGCTGATCGATTGCACAGCATGGTGACTGTAGTTAATAATAATGTATATTTGAAAATGTGAAGGGAATAGATTTTAAGTTTTCTCACCACAAATGAGTATGTGAGGTGATAGACGTTAATTAGCTTGATTTGATCATTCCACAATGTACACGTGTATATAGACATCACAGTGTATGTGATGTACACAATCATTTTTACTTATTGTCAATTAAATATAAAATTCTAAAAAATGAAATAAATCATATAACCATCTTAAGAAAATCTGAAAAAGCCTTAAACAGACAATTCCTGTAAAAAGCACTTAAATACTTCCTTGACACAGTAGATGTAGACGTAGATGTAGATTAGATAGAGATGTAACCCTCCAGCAAACAAGAGTTCTGATTTAATTGTAACACACCAGCAGCTTCTTTATTACTTTTTCTGTTATTTTCCTTTGTCTGGAACTAGACAAGGAAGGCCACCATCTCTATGACAATTCAACGCCATTGTAGAGAAGTTAGCCAATGTGATTAGGCACCAGAAATGGAGTATAAAAATTGGAAAGGAAGAAGTAATGTCACCTTTGATGTAAATGGTATAAACATGCACATAAATGTGCCAATAAAACTCAACAAAATTGGCAGATTTATGGGAAAAAATAAGGGAATCTAGTAAATTCACTAGAGATGTAAATAATATTCAAAAGATCAGTATCTTTTTATGCACATTCAAAAAATAAATACATAAGGAAAGAAAATGACCCACTTAAGATAGAATAGAGATAAATAAAAGAACCACATATAAATTTAACAAGAAACAGCTTTAACAACCAAAAATCTTAAAAATATTCCTGAAAAAAAGGTGGTCTTGAACAAATGTCAACACATATCAAGAAAAACTCAACATGTTAAATGTAATTTTTCCTAAATTAATTTAAAATTGTTAGAATTTCAATTAAAATACCATGCATTTTTATGGAAAAAAAGTAAAACAATGTATAGACAAATTGATTACAGAATACATTTGGAAGTACAAATAAGTGCTTTCTATATTCAATTGAAATTGGAGTGTGTTAATTCTAAGAAGACTATAAAAGTTTAGTTTGTAAATTTTAATCCCCAGGACAACAAATTAGTGTGAAAAGACTAGTGTAAATAAATGAATAAATAATCTTGAAACTAGATAAATTATAGTGAAATGCTTTGTACACATGTTTAAATAACCCAAACAGAAGGCAGAAAAAGGAAGGGAAAAAAGAGAGATAAAAAGCAGAGGGAACTAACAGAAGGTAAATAAGAAAAAATAGACTGAAATCCAAATATATCATTCATTACATTAAATGTAAGTGGTCTTAAAACACTAATGAAAGAGACTAGATTTGGATAATGTATTAAAAGGTAATAAACCAACGCCATCTAAAGTAAACCCACTTTAAGAACAATGATATAGATAGGCTACAGTTAGAAACATGGAAAAAAGTTATACCATGCAAAAACAAATCAGTAGTAAGCTGGAGACAAAACAGAGGTTAGAACAAAGAAAACTAACAAAACAAAAAGAGATAGTATATAAAGATAAAATGATCAATTCACCTAAAAGACACAACAATCTCAAATGGGGATATGTCTAACGAAGTGTTTTATAAATGGAAAAATCTGACAGAAGAGAAAGAAGAAACATACAGATTCACAATAGAGAACTTCAACATTTATCTGTAAATGATAAATGGATAGAAAACCGCAAGAATTTAGAACAACATTATCAAGCAACTGGATCTAATGGATGTTTATAGAACATTCTACTCAAACACATGAATGGCATATTTTTTTCAAGTATATGGGGAACATTCACCAAAACAGACATATTGTAAAGGAAACTTTAACAAATTTGAGTGATTCAAATTAATGTAATATATTATTTATGTACATAGTGTAATTAAACGAGAAATCAAGAGAGACGGGAAATATCCAAATTCTTAGGTATTAAATAGCACATTTCTAAATAATCTAATAAATCCACAATAAAACACAAATACATAGAAAGATACTCAGTATTGTACAGGTGTTCTTGCCATTATTGTAAGGCAAATCTATTAATGAAACAATCAATACATCCATCAGAGCAAACATTAATGTCATTCTACCAAGAAAGGAAGATGTAAAACTGTTTTTATTCCCTGAGGACATCATTTTGTAGAATATCCTAACAAATCTGCATTAAAAACTACTAGAACTAATAAAGAAGTTTAGCAAGGTTGTAAGATGTAAGATCAATAAATTGTATTTTTATGTACTAACAACAAATAATTAAATATGAAATTATGAAAATAATTTATTTTATAATAACATAATATAGAATACTTAGGAATACATTTAATAAAATAACTTCAAGACATATTCAACTAAAACTACAAAGTATTGGTGAGATAATTGTTCCAAATAAATGAAGGCCATTCCATTTTCATTGATTGGAAGACTCAATATTATAAAGACGGCAATTCACCCCAAAATTGATCTATAGATTCAATTCAATGTCAAAATCCAAGCAGAATTTTTTTGTTGTTAAATTTCATAAACTCACCTAAAATTTACCTGAAGATGTAAAGGCCTTTAAGTAGCCAGAAAAACTCGGGAAAAAAAGTAATGCTAGAGGACTTACATTACTTGATTTTAAAACTCACTATAAAGTTACAGTAATCAGTAGGGTATGGTATTGGTATAACTATAAGTATCTGGATCAATAGAAAAAATTGAATATCAATCCAGAAATAAACTTTTCCATTTATGATAAATTAATTTTCAAAACAAAGTTAAGATATTTGCTGTGGAAAGGATAATGTTTGCAAAAAATTGTGCAAGGACATTGGATATCAGTTTTAAGTTGAGGTACATTTTTTATTGTCAACCCAAAACTTCAAAATGGTGTTTTATTAATCTAAAAGGTATAAGAATAGGCATACCTGACTCCCAAACTAGAAATGTGGCTAATCAACCTCACAGGCATGAAATAAAGATGGCTGTGTGAGCACTTGTACTTCATCAATGACAACAGTGTTAATTCCCAGTGCCTTTACTCTTAGAAACATCTGTTAGATTTTGGCCAGTGATACAAACTGACAGAGGAAAATTATGCATAGTACTGTAGCTGGACTCCTGACAAGATCCGGATTAGCAATATGCTGCAACAATTTTTGTAAGTATACATGCAAATACATGTATCCCTCATGCACAAGCACACAGAGACATACATGCAGTAGTTTGAATCAGATAGCTATGTGTATTGATTCAATTTATCTCATTTATTAGCTGTAATTTACAATGAACTGATAGGAAATACAATCCTTCCCATTGTTGTGAATTTTAAATTAGTTGATACATGTCAACCACTTCCCACAATCAACATGTGAACAAGCATGTTTGGATATGCACACTCACACATGCACACAGGCACAATCCTAAACAGCATACCCTTTTCTAGGGAAGAAAAATAAAGTATTTTCCATTTAAAAGGTAAGAGGGGGTATCTGTGTTATATTTCAAGAATTCAAGATCTATTGTTGGTGTCTGTCATTGACAGGCAATAAATCAGAAAAATAACAACCATGACAACCTCATTTGTAATTAGGACAATCAAATTTTCACTTTCATGAATATGGTTAGAGGCTGATGCACAGTAAGATTAACTCCTCCTTGATGCTTCCCACCCCAAGGAAGTCGGGATAAAACCTCCTTAATCTTGAAATCATGTGTATTTATATGATTCATACTCTGTTTTGGATTTCCAACCCAGAAATGGGTCACCACAGAGTGTGTGAATATAAGATTGTGGCAGTAATTGTCATGATCAGGAAATTCATGCTTCAGTGATACTTTCATATATCATACTCTTAATGAAATTGTAGAAATACATAGGAATTCATTTACACAGTCATTCAGGTTTCATTAAGACTAAAGATATTCAGTTTTAAAGTTGTGTAAAGTTTTTAGGACAAAGGCCTAGAACCCAGACTTTCTAGATAGGAAAACAAATCTAAATAACCAATTGGGATGAAAAAATTACTTACTTGCAATGTTGTGAGGCTCCACAAAAATTATGCTTTCTACAGCCATGTGCAGATTATGTGGTAGAGGATGTTTCAAGTTTATATCTGTTTATTAATCTAATTTGATAACTTCAATTTTCTTAATAGACTTATTTTTAATCTTTTAAAAATAACACGGTTTAGAAAATTTTGCACAGGAAATACAAAAAAGCTAATTTTGTGTTGGGCCCAAATGAATATCTGGGAGTCATTATACTAGAGAGCAGAGAATGTTGGGTGAAGTAACTGGGAAAATTACATTAAAAAAAATAGCCAACCAACCACTGAAATTCATATCTGTGGTTAATATTTAAAAAGATCTTACCCTTTGGATATCATAACACATACACATATAATTTTCATAGATTTGACAAGGACTATACTGTAGTATTCCTCAACTAACATTCACAAATCAATGGTTATGCTATGTTACTTTATCATTTTTACAGTGCTTTAACATATCGCACTATGTTTTACACATTTTATCGATATGGTAAGTGAAGTTCGTGGAATTAGGGGAAAGAATTCCATTGCCAGAGCGTAAAGAAGCTTGTCTCAAATCCAGCTTCCCTAATTCTTTTTACTATGCCTATGGTGCTTCATGCAGCTATTAGTATGAAAAGAAGATTTATTGACAAGCATTAAAATTATTAATGGTCATAGAAATAGTACCATCAACATCCTAAAAACAGTAGCGTAAGCCTTGGAATAGCTGTTCTCCTGTTCTCCTGTTAACACTAGCCACATTATCACAAGTGTATTTCTAAATATTATAAATTATGAATTTGTCTACAGCTTCCTTCTGGAGGAAATAACCTCAACATGTGCACTGAGAGGAAACCATAAATCAGTCACGGCAGCAAATGATTGTTTTCTACTTTCTAATCAACACTACCTAAATATCCACCCTCATTTTTCTTATACTATAATTGTACAGAATCATTACTCTTTTTTTAATTCTTAGCCCGTTGAAAGATTTATATTTTCTTGCCATACACCTTGATACTGATATTATTTCCCAGGAAAAATGATATTTTAGCATGGCTATAATGCTCTGCATGGCACTAATATTACAGAGTCTATCTGTAAAATGCCTATGTGATAAACAGGATAATTCCATTTAAATAAGAATAGTGTGGGAGACATAAACCAGGGGATAGATTCGACGAGACATCTTACTCTTCTGCGAGGACTGTAGATAACACCTTATGCCTGGTAACTTATGGAAGAAAAGCACTTAAATATTACTAAGGCTGAGAAATAAGGAAGGGGCTCATTGAACATTGATCATGGACCAGTACCTATCTCATACACTTTGCTTATATGTTATAATGTTTATGAAACTGGCCCAATTGTCCTATAGAACTGATGTTTATGGTTTCTTTTGAAAAAATAAAAATAAAAAGTTGACCCTCCCAGTATTAAAACTGAAGAAACTTACACTTTTCTTATCTGAGTTCCTTTCTCAGGAAACCAACTATCAGCCCTCCAAGATAGTTTCAAGGAACTGCAACTCACCAGATAACTGCACCTGGACAATGAGATGCCAGACCCAGACCCCTTGCCAATTATGGTTGCCTAAGTAACCTGCTGCTGCCTGTTGACCACCTTCTCTTCTTAATCCTCTCCTAATTCCTATTTTTCCATACTTAGTTACATTTCTTCCCTTATTTTTCTACCTCTAATTTTAGTCCATTGAGAAGATGGATTTTTGAGTGATGTCCCATTCTCCTTGGCTGCAGCATCCAAATAAAGCCCCTTTCCCTGGCAATACTCATTGTTTCAGTGACTGGCTTTCTGTGAAGCAAGCAACAGGACCTAGACTGAACTCTTGATGTTTCAGTAACATTTAGTTACACTCCTAGAAAATATGGTATGTAAGTTATATAGATTGTAAAATAGAAAGATAGAATCTGGACTGGGATTTACATAATTATGGTATTATTGTTATTTTACAAAAACCATGTAAAGTAACAGACTAGAATAGAACAAAACCCACAGATTTATCATTTCATAAAGGTAGAACCTGAGACCAAGTGAGTTTGAATGACTTACCCGATGTCATACAAGCAAGCAGAGGAGAAATATAGACTCCTATCCCTGAATGATTTAAATTATGGTCTAGCTGGCTTGATGTAATGGGCTTCAAGTGTTTCATTCATACAGATTACACCCTAGTTTATGCAAAAAATAGGACTGATAAGCTACTTTAGGCTATAGTCTAAACTTTAGACAAGTACATTCAATCAGGAAATATTTAGAGTACCTCTATTGGCAAGACATTGAGTGCTGAGGATAAATAGGTGAATTACAACAGCAAAATCTAATTTCTATCCTCATTGAACTTCAACTCTAGTTGAACTCTCTTGCCCACTCCTGTAAGAGTGCATGAAATTGCTCCATACAAGACATTTTCCGTGGGTTTGAAGAGGCTGCTGCTCAAGCGATCCAGGCTGAAAATATTCCAGAACATCTTCCCCATACTCACTTCTCCACGTGCAGTAAATAACACCAACATTAGCTAATTTTTACTGGACTTGTGTAAGTGCTCTGTTCTTGTGCTTTAGATGTACTGACACATTAAATTGCCAGAGCTTCCTGTTTTTTTTACATTTCAGTAATCAGAGGCACAAAGGGTTTGAATAATGACCCTAAACTGCCAACCTCTGGAAGTTGTGGAACCAGGCAATCCAAAGCCTTCTGGCTCCAGCATCACCCTTGTGGCCACTAAGTGGTGTCACCAGCAGCTGCTCTGGGCTGCTCCTAATGTCTTATCCTGAACACAACTTGAACAGCCTGGAGTGCCCTTTCTGTGCTGTGTCCACATGTGTGAACCTTTCCCTTCATACAAGGCCAATGTCAGCTCTAACACCCCCAAGAAATACCATCACAGTTCTCAACACACATTTGGTGCTTATGCCTTATTACATTCTTCATCAGCATGCAAAATGATTATCTCTGCCATAGTGCATTTATTTCACTTTGACTGTGTACGATGGCCTTTAGCAGATCATTTAGTGTTCATGGTGCCCCTGCAAAGTGTATGTTATGGTCTCCATTAAACAGATAAAAACATTCAGTACAGTTTTGTGATTTGCCCAAGGTCACAAATGTGTTGGGCTAGGAATCAGAGCCATGCAATCTCTAAACTCAATGAATTTTCATTACTAAACTTCCAAGAAGTACATTCAATCAGGAAATATTATGGTTATACTTCTTCTGACATTGAGAGATCCTGCCCATGACTTCACCATTGGCACCAGCAGAAAAGGAGGAAACAAACAAAAAAGCCTATATTACGGTATCTATACTGGTTTTCTATTGCTGCTGTAGCAAATTACCACAAATTTGGGTATAACAACACAAAGTGGGCCAGGAGCGGTGGCTCACGCCTGTAATTCCAGCACTTTGGGAGACTGAGGCGGGCGGATTATGAGGTCAGGAGATCAAGACCATCCTGGCCAACATGGTGAAACCCTGTCTCTAGTAAAAATACAAAAATTAGCCTGTAGGCCCAGCTATTTGGGAGACTGAGGCAGGAGAATCAGTTGAACCTGGGAGGTAGAGGTTGCAGTGAGATGAGATCACGGGCCACTGTACTCCAGCCTGGTGACACAGTGAGACTGTCTCAAAAAAATAATTAATTATCTCAACAATTCTAGAGAGCAGAAGCCTGAAACAGATCTCACTGGGCTAAAATCAAGATGTTAGAAGGGCAGCATTGCTTTTGCAAAACAAACAAAATGTTTCCTTGTCTTTTGCAGCTCCTAGAAGGTGCCCTCATTCCTTGGCTCCTGCCCCTCTTCCATTTTCTAAGCCAGTAACAGCCAGTAGGGCCTTTTGCATGCTGCATCATCACACTCTCTTATGTCTTTCTTTTACTTATAAAACCCTTGAGATTACATTGGGTTCATACATAATCAGAGGCAATATCGCCATTTCAGGGTCATCTGAAGAGAAACCTTAATTCCACCTGCATTATTATTTCCCCCTTGCCATGCAAACTAGCATGTTTACAGATTCTGGAGATTAGGATATAGACATACTGAGGAGGCATTATTCTGTCTACCACAGTGTTGTAAGCCCAATTCATTCATTTAACATATCAAAATTGCCTACCATATGCCAAGAACTATGCTAGGTATGAAAAATCATCAGATGAAGAACGGAAATATAAAGGGAGGGAATCATGGAAAGATTCCTATAAGATGTGACCTTTGGCTTCAGTTTAAAGAAATAAGCAGTGATCAGTCAGTATGATATATGGCAGTTGGGTTCTAAGGCAAAACAGAGACAGAGTTGACTAAAAAGAAGAGCATTTCCATTTAATTTGTATGCTTCATTTGCTTACATTCTAGTTGCTATTTGTTATTTGTTGGAAAAATTCAGCTCTGGCGTCCGAGTTTAAAGCAACACCATGTGCTTCCCAGTCTGGGAGATCAAACTATGATATTCAATCCTACTCTTTTTTTTTATTACACTTTAACTTTTAGGTTACATGTGCGCAATGTGCAGGTTAGTTACATATGTATACATGTGCCATGCTGGTGTGCTGCACCCATTAACTCGTCATTTAGCATTAGGTGTATCTCCTAGTGCTATCCCTCCTCCCTCCCCGCACCCCACAACAGTACCCAGAGTGTGATGTTCCCCTTCCTGTGTCCATGTGTTCTCATTGTTCAATTCCCATCTATGAGTGAGAACATGCGGTGTTTGGTTTTTTGTCCTTGCGATAGTTTACTGAGAATGGTGATTTCCGATTTCATCCATGTCCCTACAAAGGACATGAACTCATCCTTTCTTATGGCTGCATAGTATTCCATGGTGTATATGTACCACATTTTCTTAATCCAGTCTATCATTGTTGGACATTTGGGTTGGTTCCAAGTCTTTGCTATTGTGAATAGTGCCGCAATAAACATACGTGTGCATGTGTCTTTATAGCAGCATGATTTATAGTCCTTTGGATATATACCCAGTAATGGGATGGCTGGGTCAAATGGTATTTCTAGTTCTAGATCCTTGAGGAATTGCCACACTGTCTTCCACAATGGTTGAACTAATTTACACTCCCACCAACAGTGTAAAAGCATTCCTATTTCTCCACATCCTCTCCAGTACCTGTTGTTACCTGACTTTTTAATGATCGCCATTCTAACTGGTGTGAGATGGTATCTCATTGTGGTTTTCATTTGCATTTATCTGATGGCCAGTGATGATGAGCATTTTTTCATGTCTGTTGGCTGCATAAATGTCTTCTTTTGAGAAGTGTCTGTTCATATCCTTTGCCCACTTTTTGATGGGATTGTTTGTTTTTTTCTTGTAAATTTGTTTGAGTTCATTGTAGATTCTGGATATTAGCCATTTGTCAGATGAGTAGGTTGCGAAAATTTTCTCCCATTTTGTAGGTTGCCTGTTCACTCTGATGGTAGTTTCTTTTGCTGTGCAGAAGCTCTTTAGTTTAATTAGATCCCATTTGTCAATTTTGGCTTTTGTTGCCATTGCTTTTGGTGTTTTAGACATGAAGTCCTTGCCCATGCCTATGTCCTGACTGGTAATGCCTAGGTTTTCTTCTATGGTTTTTGTGGTTTTATGTCTAACGTTTAAGTCTTTAATCCATCTTGAATTAATATTCAATCCTACTCTTTAATTTTACCTGATTTAAAACATTACATTTTTAGATGAAAAATATTCTCAGGAGAGGTATGCTGTGTATTTTTCAGGAAAGAATGTCCAGATGTTGTTTTTGGAGAAGAAGAACTACAAAGTTAGAGCAAATACTCTTATTTATAAGAAGAATGAACTCAGTGTGTGAGAAGGAGAATACAAATGCAACAGCCTCAAATTAGCAGTGGATGCCTACTGGGCTTCTGCAACCGCTTTCCACGGGTGAGCAAACTCTCAAAGCTTGAGCTGTTGCTCAGGTTTTCCCTAGGGAAGTGTTGATGGTGTCCTGGGGACACTGCACTGCAGTCATGGCCAGCAAGCCTTGTAAATACAAAGCATGGTACAGGATATGCATGATAAAATCACCTTGCTCAAATAAATGCAGCAGGAAAAATGGATTTCATCTTCTGATTCCTTTAGGTTCCACCAGATGGCTAGCTGGTAATGACCCAGACACCTCTGAGTAAACTCCCAGAAAGCCTGACAAATATGTTGCAAACTTAGCCATATGTAGAGTGGCTACACCACATTTGCAACGCTCTCTTAACAGCATGACCTTCTTTAATAGTGATCACTTCCATTTTTAGGCCCTTTATGCATTACTTTTGTCATTTTATATTGCTTCTTTTTTTCTGATCCTTGCAAAAACCCTGCCAAGAAAGCAAGAAAATATGTTTCCCCCTCAGGACCTGGACAACATCAGATAGAATGTGTCACATAAATATGTATTCATAATGAAAGTTTTATAGGTATTAAAAATGAAAGCTCAAAATGGCTAGGTGATATTCCTCAATTCATATGAACATAGATCTCTTACCTTTTTTCTTGATATTATATTGAATATGTAAAGATATTTGAAATAGTTTATATATGAGTAATTAAACCAGCTCATCTTTTTCTCTGTTATCTTCTTTATTGCTTTAAATCTTACAAACCCGTTTACCAACCAAAACTAAAGAACCAACTATATTGCTTTAAATTGTAAAAATATGTAAGTATCCACACATAGACATACAGGAGTTAGAATCCCAAAGGGAAATACTTTTTACCAGACATAGAGGGAACCAGAATAGACATAAAGCCATAAGGACACCCTGAGTGTCAAAAAGAGATCTCAGAGTTCTCTACAGTTTTATTACTGTTTTTAGATTTTCACTCATTCATAACATTATATTGGTGGCAACCATTTAGTCCATTTAATTATGCCCCCAATCTGTCACAGTTGAGACAAAAGTTGACCAACCTAGTATAATCAGAAAACTTATTCTTGGAGTTTGAAGCAAAAATTAGATTAAAATGTTTTTGGATGTGACTGGATCATGTTAGTGGTTATCTACAGGGCACAAAGTCCAGCCTTCAGAAAGAAAGTATAGAAAAAATAGATAAAACTCTTAGAGGATAGAAGGAGAAAAAAAACAGAGAGAGAATATTGATTAATTTTCTCTTAGTTCGTTCCAGAAATTTTCTCAGACCAAGTTGTACTTCAATCTTTTGGTTCCTTTAGTCACCACCCTCTTCTTTTTTGATTTTTCCAATTTGTGTTAACACTTGCCTGTATTGATCTCTTGCATTTGCAGCCACATGAATGTGAAATCCATAAGGGCAGAGAGTTTTGCTGGTTTTGTTCACTATCATGTCCCTTAACACCTAAAATAATGCTTAGCATGTAGAAATCTCTCAATAAGTAGCTTTTGCATGAATGAATGAATTAAATTAAATGAATGAAAGAACAAAAGAATATTAACTAAATAAAGCCAAGGGTCAGGAATTAAACATATCACAAACATGCTTGGAATCTTTTACTACATAATTGCCTGCAGAATATCATTACTATACAGTAACACCTAGAGAACATCCGTAAATTAAATAGTTTGATTTACTGAAAGGACTAATTTTATATGAGCAAAAATGACTTTAGTAATTTTCAGATAAGCATTTGTCAAACGTATAATCTTGAAACTATTTTCTTTATCTCTCCTTTCTATAAATATAATGAACAAGTATTTAATAAAAGACTTCTTGTTTGTGACACAATTTTAAATGTTTTCATCATTCATTAATGTTTTTAAGAATGTCTCTAAGCACCAATATGTTTCAGAGCCTGTAGTAGTCATGAAGGTAAAATAGTATTTCACATGCTGGCTTTCTCTCTGCTGCACATGGTCTGGCTTATACATCTTCGTTATGCAAAACTCATCTCCTTCACTGACCTTCATAGGAGACAACTGCCCCAAGAATATTGTTATATGTGTAATTTTACTAAATGCTTACAACATAGTTGAGAGGTTTCTTCCTTTCTCTCTCTCATGTACTCTCTCTCTCTCTCTCTCTCTCTCACACACACACACACACACACACCATATAACATACTCCACCTATGCATATATACACATACACCACAGATAATTCACCACAGTCACACCACTCACACTCATCACACCCACACCACACATCACCTACCACACATTACACTACACACATATGCACACATACCAGACAAACCACACCGCCCCAAGCACACATCTCATATATAAAAATCATACCACACACACACACACACACACACACACACACACACACACACAAGATAATGCACATTTTTGTTTTTGAGGCTCTCTGCTCAGTGCCCTGCTAGTTTTGTCTCCCCCACAGCAGCCAGCAGTGCACGATGTCTTCCTCTATTCCGGGGCTGGTAAGTACCTGCTCTTTTTTTACAGAGAACATTTTACAAATGTCACATTCTTTAAACTTCTATCTATCTCATTTTGGCACTAAACAACAAAATGCTCCCCTCCACACACATGCACCAGTTAAGAGGACTCATGTGTTTCACATTTTGTACAGAGAAATGGGGTAAGACAAAATAACAACAAAAATGTACCCAAAATCACAGGGCACAGTGGCTCACACCTGTAATTCCAGCACTTTGGGGGGCCAAGACAGGTGGATCAGTTGAGGTCAAGAGTAGTCTGAGACCAGCCTGGCCAACATGGCGAAACCTCATCTCTACTAAAAATACAAAAATTAGCTGAGTGTGGTGGCACAGGCCTGTAATCCTAGCTACTCGGGAGGCTGATCCTGGAGAATTGCTTGAACCTGAGAGGTGGAGGTTGCAGTGAGCCGACATCCTGCCACCGCCCTCCAGCCTGGGCAACAAAGTGAGACTCTGTCCAAAAAAAAAAAAAAAAAATCTGCCCAAAGTCTTACAGAATGCTTCCCTTTCTTCCGAGGAGTTTTGGAAGACTATGTGTGTGTGTGTATATATATATATATATGGAGAGAGAGAGAAAGAGAGAGACTCTAAAATAAAAAGAAGAAAGCATATGATTCTATGAACTTTCAGAAAATGAAATAAGTAACTCTTTAGAATCTGGTCCAATCAGTGAGGTCCTTACAGACCAGCAATCTGGACCAAAGGCTAAAATATGTCATAAAAATAAATAAGGTTGTGAGTCAGTTTGTCCAGATCTTCACAGAAAGAGGAAACAGAACATGAGGATTTCCAGAGGTGCAAAGCATAAGGTAATTTTTAAGGATTCAGACAATATTCAGTATGACTGGCATAAGGTTTGTGTAGGAGTCTAACCAGGGGTGAAGCTAGAGATCTAAGTAGGAGACCACATCATTAAGCATCTTTACAATCATTATAAGGGCATTCTTAATATTCACACAAAGGCAATTGGAACCCACTTAAAATCATGTCACTCCCCTTCCAATTCTTCTGATCCTCCAATATTGTGATTGGTTCTTCATTTTCTGCTCACTTGACCTCTTTCCACCATCTTGCCACCCCTTCCTTTGAATGGCAGATAGGTTAAATAGATAGCTTACATTTTAAATCTTTTGGTGCATTATTTTCTGCATAGTGCTTTGCTGGGGTGATATATTTCCCCCTGTTATTTCAAGATTCAGATTTTAGTCATTTCTGATTTTAAAAAGAATGATATCTCACTCCATAACCTATATTTAAAACTAAAAATAAACGTATTTTTACCATTGTATAAAAACCTTCTAAAAAGAGAAAAAGCATTACTGTTAAAACAACTTGATTTCACAAGCCAAATTAGAGTTTCACAGGGAAACTGAAAAAGGGCAGAGGTAATTTAGCTGAAATTGGCATGGCAGTTATGTACCATGTTGGTCAACCTTTTCAAAGGCATAAATCACAACAGGCTACATCAGATTGGGAACAAAATCATTTTGGTGGACTGAGAACTGTTTTTCATTTCCACAGCTAGACTTGGAATTTTCCAAACAAGCTGGATAAGAGAAAGCCATTTGTGCTGTGCCCTAGAAAACTAAAGACCTCTGCAGGTTCCATAAATACATGAGCTAATTGTTTGCTATATTCCAAATATTTCCAATTTATTTAATGTATCTCCTAATGGGAAAAAAAACAGTAGGAAGTAGCACTGGCCAGTTAGAAGTTAGAGGCAGTAAGGCATAGCAGATAGGAACACGGGCTTTGAAGTCAGATTCCTGTCTTTCCATCAGGAAGAAGAACTTTCCATAATAGGAACTATGTGTTCCTTACAAATTTCTCTACATTTCAAGCCTCCTCATCTTTCATATAGTGCTACTAATTGTGGCTAGCTCAAAGCCTGGCTAAAAAATTGGTGAACTTATACCACAAAATAATTTTTAAAATCTCCTGACCTATAGTGAGCATTCCATATAAGGTTAGCTGTTTGAAGGCTTTTTGACCCTTAGGCCATATGATGGAGATGTCAAGGCCTCTTAGAATTATGTTAGAATTATGAAATCATGAATGAATACCACCCATTTGTATCTTGTGTGTCAGAAAGGGAAAGAGCCACGGCAGAGAAGCATTACCAAAATGGAGTTCTGGCTTTGATGGGATTTTCATGAAGTGGTTTAAGTTTTATAATGTGCATATATGTGATATATATTGTTCAAAATTTATGTAAAAATTAGATAATAAAATATGTAATGCTAATTATGATGATTAATTTTACGTGTTAACTTGACTGGGCCACAGGAGGATGTGCAGATACCTGCTCAAACATTATTCTGGATGTGCCTGTGAGGCTGTTTTGGGATGAGGTTATCATTAGAATCAGAAGAGAAGCAGATTGTCATCTCTGAAGTATGTGGGGATTATCCAATCAGTTAAAGGTCTGACTAGAATAAAAAAACACACCCTCCCATGAGTTGGAGGGAACTCCTACCTGACTGTATGAGCTGGGACATTGGTGTTTTATTGCCTTCAGACTTGAACTGAAACATAGGCTCTTTTTGGGTTTCAAGCTTGCTCTCTTGGACAGGAACTTACACATTTTTTTTCCTGGGTCTCCAGCTTACAGATCTTAGGACTTCTCAGCCTCCATAACTGGATGAGCCAATCCTGTAGGGTAATGTTTGTTCTGTTTCTCTGGAAACCTTGACCAATACATCGATAGAAGGAAGGACAAAGACTGCATACTGGGGTTCCAAACAGGGATCTGAAATCAAGACAAGAATAAGGTGTCCTGTGCTTGGTACCTGTGAGGGAGATTCACGTGCCCTTCACATATAATTAAAGTCAATCCTGATTATTTGTGGATTTCATACTTGCAAGTTTGTCTAATAATACATTTTCTTTATAACCCCCATACTCATGGCACCTTCATAGTTTGTAAAAACGTTCACAGCAGTGAAAAATTTGAGTCGCCGGCATGCACAGCTGAAGTAAAAAAGGTGATAATCTTCCTTATTTTTTCAGCTCTCGTACTATAAACACATGTCTGTTTGTGGTCTATTTAGTACCACGTTTTCTGCTTTGTATTGGTGATTTCATTGTTCAACATGGCCTCAAAGCAGAGTGCTGGAATGTTGTCTAGTGTCCCTGTACACAAGAAAGCTGTAGCGTGCCTTACAGAGAACAGACACTGTGTGTGCTAGATGAGCTTCGTTCAGGCAGATAATGTTGTTGGCTGTCAGTTCAATGTTAAATCAAAAATATATTATAATCAGGTATTTCTAAACAGAAATAACATAAAAGAAAGTTATGTATTGATCAGATGATAAAAATGTTGTGATCAGAGATTCACAGGAACCTAACCCTGTATTTTTCCTAAGGACCATTGCTCTGTTTTCAATGACTCAGTGTTTTTGGTGACTTTGCAGTTGAAACAATAGTTACAAACAAACAAACAAAAACGTCTCACAATTGAGCAAATCGTGGCTTACAAAATGTTTATTTCCTATGAAATGCCGTTTAATTTATGCCTGTGAGTAAGACTTTAATGCCTGTTTTCCAAACTCACGGGTTCAATATGGCTCAAATAAGTAACAAGATTTGCTTAATGATGACTCGGAGTAAATGACAGAGGCAAAATTAGAAAACTCAGAGGCCTGTGATTTTTTTTTTCATGAGATCAGATTTCTCAGAGCCACCAAATGCACCATGCTGGGCTGCTCAGTGGGGCCAACTTGCTGGCAGGGAGTCGGGGAGCCAGAGTGATGGCTAGACACACACACAAGGCCACGGCACTGCAGTCATCAACAGAGCTCTGCCCAGGGATAGAATTGATGGAGAACAAGGTTGTGGTTGAGACCACAGTTCAGGGACACGAATAACAGCTACAAAAAGAAAGAATAAGCATTATTTATTGATGACCTGGAGTATTAAAATATTCTATCCAAACACTTCACAGTTAATGTCATTCCTAAGCATTTTATTATTTTTTATTTACAGTAAATTTTTTTTACATATTAAAGCCATATTATACTCTGTAAACTTATGAATAAAAATGCAAAATATTGTAAATTTATATTGTCCACCAAAACCTTATAACATATTTTATTATGTGCCATGGTAGGCTCTAGAAAAGGGAGGAGATGATAAGAGAGAGAGTCTATAATCTTCCTGGTAGCAGAAGCTACTTTCATCATTGTTTCCTGCAGTAGTCTGCAAATGAGTAACTTTTTTCTTTTTTTAAATTTTACTTTAAGTTCTTGGATATATATGAGGAACGTGCAGGTTTGTTACATAGGTATACATGTGCCATGGTGGTTTGCTGCACCTATCAATCTGTCTTCTAGGTTTTAAGCCCCACATGCATTAGGTATTTGTCCTAATGCTCTCCCTCTCCTTACCCCTCAACCCCCAACAGGCCATGGTGTGTGATGTTCCCTTCCCTGTGTCCATGTGTTCGCATTATTCAACTCCCACTTATGAGTGAGAACATGCAGTGCTTGTTTTTCTGTTCCTGTGTTAGTTTGCTGAGAATGATAGTTTCCAGCTTCATCCACGTCCCTGCAAAGGACATGAACTCATCCTTTTTATGGCTGCATAGTATTTCATGGTGTGTATGTGCCACCTTTTCTTTATCCAGTCTATCATTGATGGGCATTTGGATTGATTCCAAGTCTTTGCTATTGTAAATAGTGCTGCAATAAATATACATGTGGATGTGTCTTTATAGTAGAATAATTTGTAATCCTTGGGGTATATACCCAGTAATGGGATGGCTGGGTCAAATGGCATTTCTAGTTCTAGATCCCTGAGGAATCGCCACACTGTCTTCCACAATGGTTGAACTAATTTACACTCCCACCAACAGTGTAAAAACATTCCTATTTCTCCACATCCTCTCCAGCACCTGTTGTTTCCTGACTTTTTAATGATCGCCATTCTAACTGGTGTGAGATGGTATCTCATTGTGGTTTTCATTTGCATTTATCTGATGGCCAGTGATGGTGAGCATTTTTTCATGTGTCTGTTGGCTGCATAAATGTCTTCTTTTGAGAAGTGTCTATTCATGTCCTTCGCCTACTGGTTGATGGGGGTTGTTTGATTATTTTTTTGTAAATTTCTTTAAGTTCTTTGTAGGTTCTGTATATTAGCCCTTTGTCAGATGGGTAGATTGTAAAAATTGTCTCCCATTTTGTAGGTTGCCTGTTCACTCTGATGGTAGTTTCTTTTGCTGTGCAGAAGCTCTTTAGTTTAATGAGATCCCATTTGTCAAGTTTGCCTTTTGTTGCCATTGCTTTTGGTGTTTTAGACATGAAGTCCCTGCCCATGCCTCTGTCCTGAATGGTATCACCTAAGTTTTCTTCTAGGGTTTTTATGGTTTTAGGTCTAACATTTAAGTCTTTAGTCCATCTTGAATTAATGTTTGTATAAGGTGAAAGGAAGGGATCCAGTTTCAGCTTTCTACATATGGCTAGCCAGTTTTCCCAGCACCATTTATTAAATAGGGAATCCTTTTCCCATTTCTTGTTTTTGTCAGGTTTGTCAAAGATCAGATGGTTGT